>NC_000001.11:240275030-240426545 GCF_000001405.40 Homo sapiens
ATAGCTGGTAGGGGAAATTGGGGTCAAGAAAGGGTGTTCTTTTTTTTAAGTTTTTTTTTTTTTTTGTCTTTTATTATACTTTAAGTTCTGGGATACATGTGCAGAACGTGCAGGTTTGTTACATAGGTATACACGTGCCATGGTGTTTTGCTGCATGCATCAACCCGTCACCTACATTAGGTATTTCTCCTAATGCTATCCCTCCCCTAGCCCCCCAACCCCAAACAGGCCCCAGTGTGTGATGTTCCCCTCTCTGTGTCCATGTGTTCTCATTGTTCAGCTCCCACTTATAAGTGAGAACATGTGGTGCTTGGTTTTCTGTTCCTGTGGTAGTTTGCTGAGAATGATGGTTTCCAGCTTCATCCATGTCCCTGCAAAGGACATGAACTCATCCTTTTTTATGGCTGCATAGTATTCCATGGTGTATATGTGCCACATTTTTTTTTTATCTAGTCTATCATTGATGGGCATTTGGGTTGGTTCCAAGTCTTTGCTATTGTGAACAGTGCTGCAATAAACATACCTGTGCATGTGTGTTTATAGTAGAATGATTTATAATCTTTTGGGTATATACCCAGTAATGGGATTGCTGGGTCAAATGGTATTTCTGGTTCTGGGTCCTTGAGAAATTGCCACACTGTCCTCCACAATGGTTGAACTAATTTACACTCTCACCAACAGTGTAAAAGCATTCCTTTTCTCCACATCCTCTCCAGCATCTGTTGTTTCCTGACTTTTTAATGCTCGCCATTCTAACTGGTGTGAGATAGTGTCTCACTGTGGTTTTGATTTGCATTTCTCCAATGACCAGTAATGATGAGCTTTTTTCCCTATGTCTGTTGGCTGCATACATGTCTTCTTTTGAGAAGTGTCTGTTCATATCCTTTGCCCACTTTTTGATGGGAAAGGGTATTCTTAAGTAGAAAGTATAGCCTGTTTGTTATCCATGCAAATGACCTCTAAGGAATGGAAGAATCCAGCGTATAAGAGGGATCAAACCAAATATGGTGGCTCACACCTATAATCTCAGCACTTAGGGAGGCTAAGGCCAAAGGATTGCTTGAGAAGTTTGAGACTAGCCTGGGCAATCCCTATCATTTCTGCAAGGGAAGTATAGTATGAATGCTGGGCAGCAGTGAAGGGCCCACCTGAGGTTAGTGGCCATGATTTTAAGGGTGGTTTGCATTTCTCTCTGCAATGTTCAGCTGTTCAGGACACAGGCATTAGAATAGGTGAAGAGGTGGTTTTAACAAGGGTTGAGGTCTTGTCATTTGCATATGATATTTTATTATAGAGGAATTAAAGGGTGTATATGACCCTGGAAGGCATGAATAATGGTGCGTGGTTAAGAATGTGTGTTAGGATGTAAGGGAAGAGTGTGAGGGACAATATAATTTGAGGAGAAGCTTCATGTGTCCTGGTGAAACTGATGAGAACACTTTGACCCTACCTTGGGGGTTAAGTAGAGGATAACAATGCACTTGAGATGAGTCAATCATCTGAAATAATCATGTGAACACTTAGTTGCACCAAAGCAAAAGGAAAATGCACAATTCATATTGTTAGTGGAAGATGCAGTTATCTATTGGGGTGTGTGTCAGTGTTTTCCATCCTTTTCCAAATGACACCCCATTTGCCACCATGACCCTCATGGTGCAGACTACACAGGCTGCTCAATTTTCCACAATCATGTAAGTTTGTAAAATATCCTCAAGATTATATACTGCTTGAATCTACTATGTTGCATGTAGAGTATTTCTAGATGGGTAAGAATCAGATCAAGTGGCAAGGACGAAGAGAGATGTATTCTATATTGAGCATATTTTCTATTTTTCGAGGCTCTGCCTGGAAAGGGGACAGAATGCTCAGTGTTGCCTCATTTTCTCATCAAACTTGACACTAGTTCACTGGGGAAATTGCATTTCCAAGTTGTTTTAAATCAGGAAGTTGTTTTAAAATCAGGCTGTGTGTTTGTGTTTGCACTGTTGCCACTTAATCCTTGATCCTGTTAAATGTTTCTTCCATACAGAGGAACATAAACAATAGCGGCTTTCTTGATTTCCTAACATTCATGTAAAGATAAGTTGGAAATATTATATTTAATAAACGTAAAATACTGTAATTAAATGTAAACAGAAAATTCAATTACCATTTTGGTGGATTGTTGGATAATAACATTGAATATTTGTCACAGTAGCCATTTGGAAGAGAATACAGATTGAGTTATTGATGGGATCCAAGTTGACATTAATTATTTCATTAGAAAAATATATTTCTTCTAATTCTTAGAATTTTTTATTTTAAAATCTGGTATGATCAATCCGTTTAAGACCAGCAGGTCTAAACTCTCCCGGACTCTAGGACTGCCATGTTTGAATACAGTTATATTGAACCTTTCTGCCTTTTCTTTTTTTTTTTTTCAAATAAATGGAGGGAGAAGGATGTGTTTTATGAAGATTATGCCTTACCCAACTTTAAGTACCTGCATCTTCTTCTTTTTTTTTTTTTTTTTTTTTTTTTGAGACAGAGTTGCACTCTGTCGCCCAGGCTGGAGTGCAGTGGCACAATCTTGGCTTGCTGCAACCTCTGCCTCCCAGGTTCAAGTGATTCTCTTGCCTCAGCCTCCCAAGTAACTGGGATTACAGGCACCTGCCACCATGCCCGGCTAATTTTTTTGTATTTTTAGTAGAGACGAGGTTTCACCATGTTGGCCAGCCTGGTTTTGAACTCCCGACCTCAAGTGATCCGCCCGTCTTGGCCTCCCAAAGTGCTAGGATTACAGGTGTGAGCCACAGCGCCTGGCCCGTACCTACATCTTCTAACATTGCCTTATTTACCAGAGTGAAGGCTTTTGAAATATTTAGATGTCTGGTAAACAATAAACTTAAAAATATTGAGTTCGTTAAAAATGGAACTCAAATGTTTATTTAAATTCTAAGAGGCTTTACTGTTTTTTGAAATATTTGAAATGTTTAGAATAGTTACCAACATGCATACTTTACACTTTTGAGATGAATTATTTCTAATTCAAATGTACTTATCAGTGGTCCAATGAACCCCGATTCCTATTACACTGTGCATATATTAATGCTTCTTGCTAAGTGCCCACTTTTAAAAGTTTATTTCATAACTATATAAACAGGCATTTGGGGCTCCTGGCCTCACTGCTGCAGAGTGTCTGGAATGAGCATTTGTAGGGTCAGTTGTCATTATCTTGGTCACGATCTTTGGAGTGCTGTATTCCCATCACCTGCTGCACATAGCACAAGGTCTGGGTGTCACAAAGACATGACGTGACTCTTCTAGCATCTGTGATACTCTTGAGTAGTAATTTCAGAATACTTAGTGAAAGGCTCGAAGTGTTGAAATACGATGAAGTCTGGGGAGTTAACTTTTAGCCTCGACTTTAACTCATTTATTCTGTGCCAAAGAGGAATTTGGGGGAGAGGTTGAGTTTTCCTTTGTGGTAGCCTGGCAGGTGAGGACAAATCCACTTACTCTCCTCTTTCCTCAGCTAGAAGAGACGAGGAATGGAAGGAGATTTGATATTCCTTAGGAATTTTATTAATAGGAAATTGCTTCTTCTTTAACAATGAGGATCATAACTTCAGCTGAGATTAACTTTTAAGGGCTTTATTAAACTGTTTTAGCCACTAGCAACGATTTCCCTTACACAGATACATTTAGATTGACTTTGCACATCTTGAAAATAAGAAACAAATGAAAATACCAGAGTATCTTTATATGTATAAGTTGTGAAATTTGAAGTCTGCATTACTTCTTATTGGTTCAGTTTTCATGGGATTATTTATGTATAGGAGCAGCCAAGGAAAAGACCATAGCAGATTTTTGTAATGATGGAATGAGATTCCTGGCCTGTCAAGCCAGTAGGTGTGGGACTATGGAGAAAGTTCCTAAATTTTAGTCCAGTTATTTGAATGGAATCTTGAAGAGACATTTACTATTCATAGAGCAACCTGAGCTCGAACTGTAATTTTGTTCTAGTTGGGCAGTGGGGGAAGAGAAGAGACTTGAAACTAGTGTTATATGATGGACACGTCAGTGCTGAAAATTCACGGTGCCTGAGGTAGGTTAAACCTTCCTCCAACCAATGGTTTCCATGCAAGCTTTTTAACACAGTGATGCCTATCCTATATTTTTACTATTTGCACATATTACGAGCGATTGAAGGATGTTAGGAAGCTCTGACAATAAAAATGGTTTTCTTTAATGAAAAAAAAATTCTGATACCGTGAGAAGAGGACAGATACATCTTGCTCAATTAAATCAAAATGTGTGGGACACCTCATTTCTGCAGTTGCAGAAATGCTGAAAGTCACTGGATACTTAAAGCAATGAAGGAGGAAGAGGTTGGGGTTGGGAAAAGCAAAACTGATAATCTCCTTTGTGAAGACATCACTGTAAGAAGCAGGTGGTACTTACTGAACTCTGGAGAGAATGGAAAGTGTGAGGACAGCACAGTAAATAGAAGGAAAATTCCCTTAGCAGTCCACTTTCCAGGCACCAGTCACCTCTGGAACTTTAATTAGAACTCAAAAATGTGAGTGGAGGAATTAGAACAGAGGCCTTTCTATCTTATATTTGAAAAGTATTTATTTTACTTAGAAGCAACTTTTTATTAATTAAAAGCACATCAGATAAATCCTAATATTTGAAACACCTCCCCATATTTAACTAATTCCTCATTCTTCTAGACAAGGAAACATTAAAGTAATTTTTACACATCAACATATACTTCAGAAGAGAAAAAAGAAACCTTCATTAACTGAACAAATAACAAAATATGACTCAACATACACAAAAACCAGTGTATCATATTTTTGCATATATTAACTACATGTTGATGTAAATAGGAACAAAATTATTCCAAAGGGAGGGTGATAAATATGTGGGTTTTAGATTTTTCATGTTTTTAAACATATTGGAAATGTAATGAAATACAAGTTGATTAAGGTGATCTCTGTAGTACAGTGGAAGGTATTACCCTAACATGTCTAATTTTGGTATGTGAGCTCTGATCTTCTCAGTCATATGTTACAAATTCACAACTGAGTTTTCTTTTTTTTATGAATTTTTAATTTTTAGTGACCAAACTTCTTAGTTCTTCCCCCTACCTCAGCATGTCTGCCAATATATAAATGTTTACATATACTAAAGAAGTTGAATATTTAAATGAAGTTTTAGGTGAACTATTTTAAAAAGGAAAATTTTTTCCCTTAAAATTGTGATTATAATCATTGTGTTTATAATTCAAGCTTTTCTGTTTTAGGTTTCTTTCAGTGAGACATGTTTGTGTAGCACTACACTGAAAAAAGATGATTCTTATTGGTATGAAAGTTATTTTGGCATAAGACATTTTAGATTTCTGATAGATTCTGGACTTATGGAGCAATATATATGCTTACATTCAAAATAAAGTTTATCACTGTGCCCCTTTTAGAGCATGTGTTAGAAAACAGTGGCAAAATGTGATCCCAGAGTTAGGGTTCTATTTCCAGGGGAACTCACTAAGCCCTCTTTTACAAGAGCATAAATGTTTACCTAAGCAAGAAGGTGAAATCTGTTATGCCCAATAAAGGACATTTTGCAGTGCTGGTTTACGGAAAACATTCAACAGACAGTGGATGTTTTACATAAAGTACAGTGCGTTGTTTGAAACTCTTTGCTCATCTATACACTATGCTTAAAATAAACACTATCTGGGAATATACCCGTCTTTTTTCTACCTCCCTTATTCCACACCCTAGATTTTGTCACCTGCCAAAGTCAAATAAATCTTATCTAAACAGTTGAGATAAGCGCCGAGTCGTACCCAGTGTGGTCAAATCAACAAACCTCTCCAAAAACAGAAATGAAATACAATATCGCTAGATTAAACAGTCTACAATGGTAATCATGTTTGCATTTAAAGATTTTATTCCAAAAGGATCACAGTCTTGGTATCCATTTTTTTCCCTCCTGCCTAGACAAGACGGCGACATACTGACTCAAACAAAATGCATTTGTTCTCTAACAATTTAACTTGTACAGCTCTTATAAACAAGGCCCATAGGTGTATGAAGCCTACCGACTTAATCAGTAACTTATGTCGTTAACCTTGTATAAGCAAGTATGCTTGAGATGTACCAGTGTTGGATTGTGTATGGGATTTAGTTTTTTCTTGCAGGAAAGCCTTTCTTTATGTAGCCTGAGTGCAAAGTCTATGGCATTCTGGGATTTTATTGTCTGTATCTTACAGTAAAGCTCCATCATGCTAAACTGTTCAAAAAGAGAAGATAGTACAAATTAAAGTGATTTCTAAATTATAGGATATTATAAAAAATGCAGTTTTCTTCCTTCCTAGGACATATGGTATTTTAACTGTTTGATAACAAGGTGTAAACTCTACTAGGGCAGGAACCGTGTCTGTCTGGTTTATGCTGTATCCTCAGGGCGGACAAGAGTACCTAGCTCAGAATTAGAATTCTGAATATTTGTTCAATGAATCAATGATGTTTTCCAGAAGATATTCTGTCTTCTCTGTGGATGAATAAAAATATTTTGTAATTATTACATTAATTTCTGATATTTAAAAGCATGTCTCTCGAGAGTACATTTTTGTCTTACAGTTTTTAATAAATGGTCTCCTTTCAATGTCGTACCATTTAATTAGCAAAATTTAAAATACGCAATAAAGGAAGGACAAATGACACAATATCACTCATTTTTTGGTAATATCTCTAAGGTACTGTATTTGTGCATTTCTTACTGTAGAGCAATTTATACACTGACTGCTGGTTTGAAAATAACCCATTTTTCCATTATTCTTTAAGCAGATCTTCATTTACTTTGGTTCATGAAATTGGGAATTAGCCCAGTTGTATATAGATGCGTGATTTGAATATACTGTCCTTTTATTTTTAAGGTCCAAACAATAATACGAAACTTATAGTCTTATTTTCTAATTTATATTTTGCTTTATGAGAGCAAATATATCTACAAAGGTATATGTGCTATTTAGACATTGACCGAAAACTGAAGAACCTTTCATTTTAGAGTGCCTGCTATAACAAGGACTGTTTTCCACACAATAGAGGAGTTACCTCTAATCTTTATAATATCCATTTAAGGGGATAATAACATTACCACTGATATGTCTATTTCCCATGTGAATAAACCAAAGCTCATAGAGCTTACCAAGTCTCTCCAAGAGATGCACAGCTGGTTAGTCACAGAGCCCTGTTTTTAGTTCAGGTCTATCTAAATCCAAAACACAAGGTCTAAGTCTCATGTAATTCTGGAGAAAACCACAACTTTTGAGTTATTATATTGGTGAGTTAAGACTTCTCAGTAAACATGTTACTGTTTAAACTAGAGCTTTTAATCAGAAGAGAGTAATAAAATTTAGAAGTCTTACAAATACAAGGAATAGAACGCCACTATTTAAATTTGGGATCAAAAGAAGAATGCTGTTGGTATATGTGCCATTTAACTGGCCTTTATCATGGTCTTTAGATAATCCAGAATTACTTGAAATATTACTCACGAGCGTGTGTGCAGGGTTTCAGGTGTATGTTAAGAATGCCTGGCAGCACGTCTTCTGGCAAGATGCCCACGTTTGTGTGCATACTCAAAGGCCCCAGGTTTCCAGGTGCCCAAGCATCTTAGTGGTGAGATGCAGAAAGAATGCAAGTAGTATTTCCTTTCATCTTATCATCGAGTGTAAAATGTTCCGATGAATATGGTAGCAAGTGTCTTCCTTCCTTTGAAATATGAGTTTTCATCAGCTGTTGGATATGCTCACGTAACTAAGCCAAGCAAAATCCAACACAAATTTAAAAGTTGCTTGGCTACCTCTTTAGAAAATTTTTGTTATGTAATATACATTTTGGAAGTTTTTAATGTAACTGCCCAGGTGTGCAGATTTTCAGCTGGAGATTGATGCATCAGCATTCTATTCCTTAGAAAACAATGCTGGGTGTGACTCTTGACTCCTTTCACATCCAGTTGCACAGTGACATGCACCTCCCGAAGGTTTCTATGCTTTATTGAGTTTCAAATAAAGATTGAGGGATGATAGTTCTAGGCATTTCTGCCAAGCTGTGTTTTTCTTTTTTTTCTTCTTCCTTCTTACATCTTCTCAGCAGATTAATTAGAACAGTAATTGAAATAAATAAAAATTAAGGCAGCCCTGAAAATAAAAATGAGCCTTTTGTATCCACCACAGATTATAGATGCAGAGGAGGAAAAGGAGGCTTCTTCCCCTAGTAATGTCTGTCTGTTGCTCTTTTCTTTGCAGTTCCTCTCCTCATTACTATTTAGAGGCTCATGCTTGTATTACCATTTGCAGCAGGGATTTTTGCCTATGCCAGTATTTATTTGGCTTTCACTTTCTCAGGCATTTCGGCCTTTGTGCATTTCTGGAGCCAATAAGGCAAATGTGTGAGTGGTGGCATCCTTTCTTAAGGTTACCTATTATGACTTTTCCCTGGAGGTTCAGCAATGACTTTTGTTTTTCACATTACACACTTCTTCAGTTGTCTGCTATATGCAGGACACTCTGGCATGATACAATAATGTCTAAGACAAGATCCCTGCTATTAGGCTCTTAAAAATCTTCTTGGAGCGACCAACCACATACTTTTATACAATAGAGGGAGTAGCTGGAGTGTATCAGATGGCTTTTATTAATGTTAAAGGGTGGAATCCAAAGGTAGGGAAAGTCATGAGCCTTGGTATTTATGGAGTGTTTTGGAGATTACTTAGACTGGAGCTTGAAATTGCTATTTTGTTAGAAACAGCAGTTCGTCCACATTTAGAGCCATACTTTCCAGTTTCCCTTTCCTTCCAGGTGACCATAGGAAACTGATCCGGTCAGTGAGATGTAAGTAGAAGTCTCCTAAAAATTTATGATCCATCGGCATTGTGCATTTCTTCTTGTTGCTTTCCTCTTTCCTCCTTCGTCTGGCCTGGAATGTGAAAGTGATGGCTGGTACAGTAGCAGCAATTGTTCCAAGTGAGGAAAAGGAAAAGGCATGTGAAGACCACTTAAAAATTTTGGGCCCTAACATATTTTATCCCCTGAATCAATGGCAACCTACCTTAGCTTTGTTCAAGTCTCTATCTACTCAGATATTCTTTTACTTACTGCTGAAAACAATTTTTTAACTGATTCAAATGTATTTAGCACTTTGGCCATATTGTCATGTGGGTAATTGTCAGGATTTCATTCATATTTCAAATAATCTTCATCACTATATTCTAACTAGATGCCCATATCACTCCCTAATATGAGCCAATCTTTTAAGCTGGGGGGGAGGATTGAGTTAGAAACAAACAGTCAGGAATGACTGACATTTTCCCCCTCATCTAGACCCTGTGTTTTCATTTTACTTCCTAATAAACTCAAAGATATTGGAATTCAGTTTTTATTTCTCTTTAATTCCACTAGAATACAGATGATAGCTTCTATAAAAGCACTTTCCCTTCCCCAGCTGTCCACTCTTGGAATTCTTTGTCCATCTACACAACTTTTCCTCAACTTTATATTGTTTTGTCTTTTAACACCTAAAGACAAACACAAACTTAGCTAGGTAAGAAGAGGGAAATATTTCTACTATTAGATGAAGGATTATAAAAGAAAGGCAGAGAAACTTTCTAAGTTGTAATCTGTCTTCTAGCTTCAGAGTCCCTCAAATTTTTAAGGACCTTTTCTGGGTCCTTAAAAACGTAAAAACTAATAGGCAATGTAGTGAGTAAGTTCTGTGAACAGAAGGATCACCAGGGACACAGCTTCTGGCTGGGCTAGAGTGTGAACCAAGTGCTTTATATCTGGCAGGCATATGGTCAGAGGGAGTACGTGATTCTATGGTTTTTGTTAATCTTAACTCGCTGGGATCTACTCTCAGGAACTGGTCAACCTTTTCTTTCCTGTTATTTGGATGTTGGCCTTCCTAAATTTGTCTAAATTTCTTGGCTTTTTCCTCTTCGTTTCCTTTTTGATCTACTTTTGGGAAATTCTCACATGTATTTCCCAAATCTTCTATTGGGTTTTTCTGTTACCCTGTTTTTTGTTTGAAGAAACATTTTGTTCAATTAGGAGGGTGTTGCAAGAATTGCAGGCAATAATCGGGAATGTCTGAGAATGGGGTGGTAGGGGTGGGTGTGGTGAGGTGAAGTCATATTCTGGATGTGTTTGGAATGTGAAGCCAACACGATTCATGATGTGTTGGATGTGGAAGGTGAGGGGAAGGGAGGAATTAAGGACAGTTCCTCTGAACACCAAGCAGATGGAGGCTCCGTCATGTAAGACAGAAGAACATGTATAGAGTGTGCTGTCTGTTAGACACCCAAGTGGTGATGCTGAGAAGGCTGTTGGTTCTATAAGTGAGGAGTTCAGGAAGGAGGTCGGAAGCTGGAGATGAAAGTGCTGGAGTATTTCAAGCCCACCGTGAGACTGGGCGAGACCACCAAGGCGGTGAGTGTAGATAGAGGTAAGAAAGGGTGGCAGTAGTGAGCCCTAGGACATTCCAAAAATGAGAGGTTAGGGAGAGAAAGAGCCAGCAGGGGAGACTGAGGAATGGGGAACATTAGAAGTAGGAGGAAGAGGAAGAGAGAGTGGTATCCTGGAAGCTAGGATAAATGTTTAGCACGTGTATCGGAAGGAATTTATAACTGTGTCACATGCTGCCAAGGGTTGAGAAATGTGCATTTGGATTTCACAAGATCTAAAACACTGGTGACTCAGTAATCAGAGCAAAGACTTGATGAGTGGGTTTAGGAAGTGATGGGCAGAGAAGAAGGTGGGGACAACAAGTATTGACGACACTTTGTAGGAGTTGGAAGAGTTTTACTGCTTTATTTTTTTTTCCTTTTTTTCCCCCGCTCTGGTTTCTAACATCCCTTGTAGAGGCTTCCCATAGATGATTTGATCCTTGGCTGTCTGTTCTTGCTTAAGTCTAAAAGGTGATGAGAAGCCCTGAGTCTTCATGTTGGGCTCTTGGACTTTGAGTTCAGTGTAGCATTTTCGGTGTGGGTTTTTTGTCGGGTATTCACCCATGTCTTTATCTTTTGGTCTTTTTTCCTGGGATGGAGAGATTTCCTGGAGACTTCCCATTTCTGGCTTGGGGTGTAAAGGCCTGTCTGGCAGTGTTCTGGACCCTAAATTGGGGGAGGAGGGCTGAATGGAGGTATGGAGGCTTTTGTATTCAACATGCAGTACTCCACATGGTCCCTGTGTATTCAGCATAGCAACCTATCCTACAATTGTGATTGCTGTGTCTTTGTCCAGAGACTTAGATTTAATTTCTCAAGAAAATCAACCTGATGAAGTTGGGAAGGACTTTTTCAGAATGAGCATGTAACTGACTGACTGGCAGCATTCATCCAGTGCTCCTTGTTTCTGATATTCCTTGCTTTACCCTCAGTTGGACAAGTGCCTGTTGCCAGTTCCTTGGCCTTCAGGGTTGGTGCTCAGTTTTCTCAGTGAAAGTTATGGTTTTATCATTTTAAGGTCTACGAAACTGAGTAGAGCTGGCTTCCACATTTTGTTGCTGTCATCTCATCTTCTTTCTTCCAGTCCTTATGGGTTTACTTTTTTAAATATGTTTTTACTATAGCTTTAGTGAAACTTCAGGAGAGAACAAAATCAAATGTGTGTACTTCCTGTGCCATCTTAATCAGAGATGCTTCCCAGCAGTACGTATTAATACATATCACAGTGCAAATGGAATGAAGCAATCTGAATGTTAGGTGATGCTATTAAGATTTAGACCATCTATTTAGTAGTCGTTCACTTTCAAACTCTGTCACTTTGAGGATCTTTTACACCTGACAACGCAGTTCTTTCTGCTGTTTGCACAAGCTCTACCTTGTGCTTTTATTGTGGTGTAATTGTTGTGTAGTTATTTGTCGATGTGTCTTTCTACTTCACTATACTGTCAGCTCTTCTAGATGGGGGAGTGTGTATAACTCCAGATTCCCAAAATGTTTTGTAGGACATTTACAAAAGAGATAACAAATACTGTCAGATACATTTCAATTACGCATCCCCAAAATGTAAAAGTTTCTATTTCACTGAAATATACAGTGAAACAAAAATTAACTGCTTACATGTCCTCGTCGTCCTGATTTTAAAGTCGAAATGACATGCTCCCTGCAGTTCCTCAGAGAGATCTCTTACAAAATGTAGTTTCCTGGTAGCTAGAGTAAGATGACAAACCTGACTCTTAAATGAGAGGATGCTTCTGATCTCTGCTACATAAGATGAGTGTCTGCTCAAACAAAGGTCTTTGCTTCTCAGCAGCTTGCAAAGCTAACTTCATCAAAGCTTTTCCTGTGGCTTCTGTATTTTAAATGGGGTAAAGATGCTTTCTTCAAGCCCTTATACTCTGCCAGTGAAAAGAGGGCATGAACCGTAAATATGGGCTGATTTGTACTCATTTTGTGTTTAAGCTTCTGCTGACTCTACTTCTCTTTCCATGTACTTTAACCCAAATTAGTGTTAATGGCTTCCCTCTGGTTACTTGTTTAGTCTTCTATGTTACTATCAGTACAACTGAAACTGTCATTTTTCTTTTTGCTGAGAATGTTTTCAACCTGGTTCATCTGAAACCTCTCAATCTAAGATACTGATTTGGAGAGAGATTAAAAAAAACATTTTCCATTATAGGAATGTGAAATGGGCCGTAATAATAATCACAACAACCAACATTTTCTGAGTGTTTGCTTTGTGCGTGGCACTGCATTTGACTTTTATTATTTAATCTCCTGCAAGAACTCTGTAGGGCAGGTCCTCTTCTTATTAGGTCCATTCTGCAGATGAGGAACTTGAGACTCTCTGGGTTATGCAGATAATAAGTTGTGTGGTCACTGTGCCCCACTGCCTTCCAGTGCCATCAGGTGGCAATGTGACATGACATATTATCTTTGTGTTCTGTATTTTTGAGCTATGATGTCAGCTAGAGTGAAGTTAGTTATTTATGAAAGGACAATCAGAGTGATCTCAAAGAAAGGTCAGTTTATCCAGTAAAATTAAAGGCAGAGTTGATTTTCAGGAATTGCTAACCTCAGCCTGTTTTAGCCTTTCAGCATTCGAGAAAGATGTTTTTCCAAGTCTTTTGTGTACTGGGTTCTTCTAGATAGAGAAAGGATACAACAGTGAATGAAGCATGACCATGTAATTATGGAGGGAAGGGTCTGTCCATATTGTCTCACACGTCTCTGTATATCTACAGAACGTATCTCATATGATCTCTATTTATAGAAATGATGAGGTTTAGCTGATTTGATAGGTTATGCCTAAACCAGAAGCCAGCCTTCCTGACTAGTGCACTTTTTCTTTCCACTGAATCATGATGCTTCTCCATGTCTTTTGTCAACCTAGAGCCTAATAGGAGAATAAAAACATTCGAATTAATGAAATTAACACAAGGTAGAGACCCATAGAGCAACACAAGTTGGAAGCTGAAGTCCAAGGAACAGAGAGCCATGGGTTAGCAATGTGTTGTGATGGGCAGCCCCTCAGATGGTCCCTGGAGATCCCCACCTTCTGAGACTCACGGCCCTGTGATATTCCCTAGCCCTTATATGTGGGCTACACTCACGACTCACACTGAATAGAATAGAACAGAACAGGGGTGATGGGATGTCACTTCCAAAATAAGGTTACAAAGAGAAGGAGGCCCTGTCTCGTATGCCCTTTCTGTCTCACTCTAAGGGAAGCCAACTACCTTGAGAGTTGTCTATGAAGAAGCCCATCTGGCAAGAAACTGAGTCAGACTTCCAGCCAACCAGTAGTGAGATGCTGAGGCCCTCAGCCTGAGGAACTGAATCCTGCCAACAGCCTGTGAGTAAGGCTGGAAACAGATCTTCCTGCAGAGCCTTCAGATGAGACCGTAGCCCCCGCCAACACTGTGATTGCAGTCTTATGGGAGACCTTGAGGCAAAGGCCCCTAGCTGAGCTGCACCTGGATTTGTGACCCACAGAACGTGTGAGATAATCCATGTGTGCTCTGTAAGCCCCTAAGCTTTGGTGTAACTTGCCCTGCAGAAATGAATAACACACTTGGTAATAAACACTGTGAGATTTTCTAGTTTGGGGCATCTTTACCACCAGTTTAGCAGGTCACACAGGAAAGATTAAAGTAGGTGACTGCAGTGGCTGGGATAAGTGTTCATGGCTTATGAAAGGAAGGGGCCATCAAGCACAGCCCTGAGAGACTGCTCCAGTCCTGTCTCATCCAACAGATCCCTGATTTTAAAAAATATCAATGTAAGGCATGTACTAACACTGTTCCATAGCTTAAAATGTTGCATTCAACAAGAGTAATCCTATCATATTGAATTATACAAATAGGTTGGGCACCGTGGCTCATGCCTGCAATCTCAGCACTTTGGAAGCCTGAGGTGGGAGGATCACTTGAGGCCAGGAGTTCAAGACCGGCCTGGGCAACATAGCAAGACCTTTTTCTCTACAAAAAAATTAAAAAAATAGAAATATTATCTGGGCATGGTGGCATGTACCTGTTGTCCCCGCCACATGGAGAGGCTGAGATGAGAAGATTGCTTGAACCCAGGAGTCTGAGGCTGCAGTGAGCTATGATCATACCACTGCACCCTAGCATGGGTGACAGAGTGAGACCCTGTCACTCTGTCTCTCTCTAAAAAAAAGGGATTACACAAATAAAGTGAACTACTTAATCTGGCTATTCAAAATATGTGAAAGATCAACAAATTTGTCTAATAATGTTTTGTTGAAGTGCTTTGTTTTAAATGAGTTCCTTTTAAGGCACATTTAAAATAAGTCCTTTCCCTTCTGTGCAGTTCTTTGAAAGTATAGAGACAGGATTCATTTTATCATGTAAACATTCATACAGATAGATTACTTTGCTCTCTAGCCTGTGGGTAATTCAACATTTGTAGTAAGTTAGAATAAGAAGCATGTACCACATTTCTGGTGCTGACAAAGGCAGCCACGGAGGAGAACACGTTAATAGCAAAGACCAAGTGTCCAAGGATAGACACCTGCCTGCGCACAGTCAAGAGTGGGACTGTTTCTTATGTTGAGTCTATAATGCTTGGTTGTTTTGAATTGCTTTATTCTTTTATTTTTTTAATGTAATGCAGTCATCGATCAAAATCTTAAAATCAAAAGAAAACAGATTTCTTTTTCTGTTTGGACATTTTGAGACATTTTAAATATCTTAGGTTAAATTGACGATTGGACTTCCAAAACAGGCCATTTCATTTTTCATTTTTTAACAGCATGCTTTAACAACAATGACATTGGATCTTAGCGAGCTCATACCGGTGGAGCAAGTTCGTACCGGAGGAGTTCATGATGAGAATAGCTATTGTGAAATTAACTTTTAACTATTGAACGCAAATGTTTAGTCCTGAACCTAGTTTTAATTTAGCACCTAGTTTTAATCTAATTTCTGAACCAATGTGTTTACAGGTAACATACACCTTAAAATTAATCACACCCATTATTCCAAGCCTTTCTGAATTATTTTTCTACTATATAATTACTTATTTTCCCCACATGATAAGCATATGCTATAAACGAAAGTTATCCCACTTGATAAAGTCTCAGAGAAGTTTAGTGTCTTGATCAAAGACACACAGCCATTTGGTATGAAAGCCTGAAAGATTACTATGTTCTACTCTCTATCTAGACATTGGCATTTGATAAAATCGTAGACAAGAATTGTTGTCTATTTTGGTCTGGAGTGATGTCTGTTTGTTTGGTTTTTTTTTTTTGTTTTTTTTTTTTTTTGAGACAGAGTCTGGCTCTGTCACCCAGGCTGGAGTACAGAGGCATGATCTTGGCTCACGTAGATCTTGGCCTAGGTAGATCTAGGCCCTCTACCTCCCGGGTTCAAGTGATTATCCTGCCTTAGCCTCCCGAGTAGCTGGGATTACAGGCATGCACCACCACACCTGGCTAATTTTTGTATTTTTAGTAGAGACAGGATTTCACCATGTTGTCCAGGCTGGTCTCGAATTCTGGGCCTCAGGTGATCCGCCTGCCTTGGCCTCCCAGAGTGCTGGAATTACAGGCGTGAGCCACCACATCCAGCTGGAGTGATTAGTAACACGTGGTCATTTGTAGGTTGTTTAAAGGAAGTGGTAAATATCTCCGTTGTTTTAATCCTGGAAATGTAGCATATTTGACAAATAAGTGAATAATCTTTTAATGTGCAAAAAAGGTCTATAGTTCCTCTCAACACCTTTCTCCTTGAACCCACTCACATAAAAACAGAACAGATGCTTCCTGGTTAAATTGATTTATATATATTTTTGAGAAAGTGATTAAAACTGCATTGTAGACCTGCAGGGGGTGGGTGGGGGTGGGAATTGTAAAGAGTCGCAGACAAGGATGGGTGTTACTCAGCATCTTAAAGCAGCAAGGAGGAAATGAGTGTGAGATATCTGACCTCCAATCTGAAATGTAATCACATTAACACCTTGCTGAATATTAGAGAATAAAGTAATCTGAACTAAACATTTATCACTGAATATTCTTTTAAATTTTGGATTTATCTGAAATCTAGTCTTCTGCTTAATCATTTAAATGCTAATAAACAAGACAGAGTATAATGAAGAAGCCCAGGTAGTTCTGTACCAGGCTCTCTTGTTTCACTCTAATGGTTTATCATTCAGGTAAAGGTTCCATCCCTCAGTAGATGCAGTTGGAATGGATTTTTTGTTTTTCTTTTTTTTGGATACACGGGGAAGCTAAAACACAAATTGAAAAAAAGTCAACTCGTTTAACCTTGGGCTTCATAGCAAGGCTCACTTGAGCAGGAAGGATGTTCTAATAGTTGAATTTATGTGAAAAGTTGGCATGGGGAGGTAACATTAACCAACTACATGTCAGACCCTTTTACTTGTTATTGCCTCTAAGCCCCACAAAAACCCCAAACCAAAACTTGGCTAATATTTTCCATTATTTCCTTGCCCCTGCCCCATAAAGGAACTGAAACTTATAAAAAGTAACTTACTTGAAGTAATGCAGCAGCAAATAAAAATTTAAATTTAAACTTAGTTTAGTTCGATTCCATGTTCTATGTTTGTTCCACATCAGGAAACAGCATCTTGTAAAAATAATATTCCCTTTGGAGGAACTGTCACCTTGATATAATTTCAATACTCAGGTTCTTTCCTCCGAAACAAGGCTGAAATTTTGGACTTGGAACCAAGAAATTTCTGAGGAGTTTTTTCTTTGAATCTTTTTGCCACCGAAATAAATAAATACATAAATAAGTAAGTAGGTAAGTACATAAGTAAATAAGTAAAAAATAAAAAATGCATTCAGTCATTCTTAGCATGATCTAGAACTCTGATCATGGTATTCTCTTCTCTGTGCATTACCAGTTGTCTGCAGACTTTCAAGGCTGGGCTATTCAGCATATTCCCACCCAAATAGCTCCAACTTCAAATCATTATTACTCAAGTAACTGTTAACACTTCTAGTATACTAGTGTAATCCCTGATGTATAGGAAACACCTCACATTTGTTGAATACATTTGGGAATGCTTATTTCCTTGATTTTAGAATTCCATCCATTGAAAATGTACCATTGACCAAATCACAGATTTTAAGGAAGGGAGAAATGGAAGATGCTACTAAACGTCTAGTAACATAGACATTTTGATCTAAGTCCTGATTTCTGAAATGTTAGCATATGCTTTTTAAACTGGGGAGGAAGTATGGCACTTCGATAATTGTAATCTTTCCCAAATTGCTTCTTTTACCTTTATTTCCTGTCTAGAATTTCTATCACTGCATCCATTCATCTGTCAGTATTTAATCTTTCTTTCTTTTTGGCTACAAAAGCATGATTAGATTTTGCCCTGAAAACTGCTCGTTCCCATTTGAATTGTGTTAATTTCTCTCAGGTCAACTAGGGGGAAGTTATATGGAGAAACAGTAACAGTGCTGCTTTCCAGTGAGATTTTCTGTGGATGAGTAAAAAATGAGATTTCATGGGTTAGGACCCTTTGAGAACTTGTTTAGGAGCACATAACATGTATTAAGATATTCATTATTAAGAATATTCTTTCGATCTCATGTATATGACATTGCATGAGATAGAAAGATGAGAAACCTCAGGATATTCACAAGTTTTATGTGGGGAAAACTTGTGGGTATAATAGTATGGTTTAAAATGATGGATAAAGTCAAAGGACAACTGTGTACTTTATGAGCTTTGAATTGATCATGAATGATTTTATTGTGTTTCTTTGCCTTGTTCTGGGGATGAAATCTGACACCAAGTTGACCCCTTGCATTTCCTTTATAGTTTTCTTATCATGTAGAGAATTACTGGATTATTAGCTAGCTGATGAATTCCAAAATCAGAAACCTTTGGATTCACTGTAAGATATTCTTGAAGAGCTAGACTCTGCACAAATTGAAAGAAGATAATTCCATACATAAATTTACTGTTTTTACTTGGGTTTTGTGCCTTTTCTTACATATTATCACAGCAAAATTATTAGCTAATCCTTTTTAATTAATTTTTGAAATATAGTCAAAGGTATTTGGACTGTGCCTTTACTACTTTGAAACATTAAAGTTCACGATATTTTTGCCTTATATGGTCTAATGAATAAGATTTGTCTGAGACTCTTACTCTTAGATATGTATTTCACACCTAATTTTTTTGGAAATTGAGATAGTGGATTATTATTAGGGTGGAAGTATCATATTCTACTTGGTACAATATTTTTTGGTGAATCTGGGCTCCCTTCCCAGCTCCAAATACAAATGCTAAATTACCTTGTTTAGATTTCTTATCCATCCTGTGCTTCGATTTCCCACTTGTCTTTTTAAATTCTTTCTTGGGATTTTGCCAGAGTCAACTAGAAAATGTCTCATGTGAAACTTTGAGAGAAGAGACATTGTAAAATGCCTCTTATCAAAATAAATATATCCAGTTTGTGATTATTCACTTGGTGATTTTTGTCCCGGAAATTTTTAACTCCCCAAGAGCTTCACTGGCTACTTGGCACAAATTCTATCAAGGCAAATTCACCTTGTTTCTACCAAATATCCATGTAGAAAACACAGAATGATTTGTATTAACCTATGCCTAAAGCAAGTAATAAAGCACACCTACTCCAAAATACAATACAAATTTCCCCAGGCAACAAATGCGTAAAGAAAATATTGCTGATTTTTCTATTATCTATCCTGCTTCTTCCTTGTATAACCATGGGTAGTATATATTTGAAGGATGGATTTTTAAGGTAGGATCTGTGCTAATACCACTACCAATATAAAAGATTCATCCTTTGATTATAATATTTTGAGGAATTATAATAGGAAATGCCCCCATCATTTTTATACTAAGTCCATCTGTTTAATGATTAAATTTCACCTTTGTCAAAGGTCCTAGATATACTGGTGAATTTAAGCATTTATTGATATAAAACTGGGATGTAGCATTCACTGGAGTGATTTGCTTATTTTGCTGGTATGAAGCAGATTTTTCAAATTCATTCAGTTCGGCTGTGAAAAACAGACCTCACAGTTTCTCTCTGACCTTTGCCTGGGCCATTTTCATGGGATTTAGTATTTGCGGAGCAAGTGAAAGCTTTAACACTTGACACCTGGCCCAGCGAAATTCCTGGTGCAGGCTTTGCAGTGGGGGCAAGGGGAAACATTGAAGTTAAAGCCCCTGCTCCCTCTGGCTGCTGAGCCGTGAGCCTGCTGCCTGAGATGGTCAAACATCTTTTCACAGGTGGCTTATGGCAATTTATATTCTTCTTTTTTTTCCACAGCTGTTGTGAACTTGGATAATTCTGTGGTTGACCTGGAGACCCTTCAAGCTCTCTATGAGAATGTGAGTAATAGAAGGAATTTTATGTGTGAGTATATAATATGTACACAGTACATGTCTATGTGCACATATAGGCTCTTTGTTTTAAGGTCCTCTAAAGAAATTTGATCCGAGTGTAGTGAATTTGCCTAAGTAGGTGTTTGTTACAATACTTTCTAGGAACATATCAAACAAATGTGTGGTCTCATGGTTTGAAAAATTGTGAATCAAATCATATTGCATATGAGGTCATTCATTATTTTTTTAAATTTAAATAATAGTACTGATGTGGGGGCTAACTTGAGCCAAGCATTGTTCTGTGCACTTCATACACACACACACACACACACACACACACACACACACTCACACACACTTAAAATTTTAAAATATGTAACTGAAAAAGATTGAATACATTCATTCCAGGTGTATGTATTGAACATATTCATGCTGAGTTGATATACACATTGATTACCACAATCAGATTAACACATCCATCACCACCCACACTTATATATAAGATCTCTAGAAGTTATTCATCTTATAACTGAAAGTTTGTACCTTTTGACCAATATCTCCCTATTTTCCTACCTCCCACCCCTGGGCAACCACCGTTATGCTTTCTGTTTCTATGAGTTCAAGTTTTTTAGATTCCTTATTTGTCTTTCTGTGTCTAGCTTATTTCACTTAGCATTATGCCCTCCAGGTTCATCCATGATGTTGCAAATGGCAGGATTGCTTTCTTTTTTATGGGTGAATAATATTCCATGGTGTATATGTACCACATTTTCTTTATCCATTCATCTGTTGATGGACACTGGTTGGTTTTATATCTTGTCTCTTATGAGTAGTGCTGCAGTGAACATGAAAGTACAGATATCTCTTCAACATACTTTTCATTTCCTTTGGATGTATTCCCAGAAGTAGAATTGCTGGATCATATGGTAGTTCTGTCTTTAATATTTTGAGCAACACCTACACTGCTTTCTATTATGGCTGTACCAATTTACATTCCCATCGACAGTGTGCCAGGGTTCCCTTTTCTTCGCATCTTCACCAACACCTGTTATCTCTCTCCTAATAGCCTTGCCAACAGATGTGAAGTCATAGCTCACTGTGGTTTTGATTTGCATTTCTCTGATGAACTGTGATCAAATGCTATTATTATCACCCCTGTTTTACATGAGGAAAGTTAGAGAGGTTAGATGACTTACTCAGGGTCACATAGCTAGTGTTGTGATATAGCTGGGGTTTAGTTCATTCTGCCTGTTTCTCTATACTGCTACAGTTTATTTCACTAGGTGGCAGGACATTTAGCTTTTGTTATGTAGTACTTTTTTTTTTTTTTTTTTTAACAAAGGTGGTAGAGAAAGGGAGTAAGGTATTGAAGGAGAATAACCATAGCACGATATAGTCAGTGCTATTGGGAAGTGTGATATGAGAGATGTCTTTAGCTAGAATGTGACATTAAATAATATTGATTCAAGTAGTAATAAAGCAGGTTGTTTTCAGTGCTTTTGATTATATTTAAGGTAAAGTCTCAGTGTGGTCCTATTTTGGGTCTAATATCTTTGAGTGCTTTTTTTTTTTTTTTTTTTTTTTTACTTTATTTCTGTTCTTGCCTTTGATCTGCCTGGTATTTAAGCCTCTGCTCTTTGGGGCATGGCCTTAGTTGGTCCTTAACTTTTCTGTCTCAAGTCAAATAATTCTTGGCTCTGGGGAGACCCATGTGGTGGGCAGGATGCAGACTCTGTTCCTTGATCACTCCCTTGAGGACTGTGTATTCAACCTGCTCATCCACTCTTGAGTTTGGTTTTTTTTTTTTAACATATGTTATATGGTGGTCTCATCTGTGAGATTGAGACCGATGTAAGACAAAATATGTCTCATGGTGCATTGTACAGAATCTGTGGGCCAAGTGTAGAATTGGTACCCATTAAGCATGGTGAGCATAAGCATTCAGTGAAACTGAGTCAGAAACAAAGATTGAGAGGGAAGCTTTCAGTGATTTATTATACAGTTGTCACTATGCAAAGGGAAAACTGGAAAAAGTAAATCGTGTGTTTAGTATATTCACATTCCAATGAAATTGGTATTTAAAATATAACCATTGGGAGGTACAGAGAGTTTTCATTTCTCTTGAGTCTTTCATACTAACCCTCTTCCAACCAGGAGGGCCATATGGAAGAAAGGAGGAAATACTAGAGGAAAGTAATTTCTTCAGCAGGTCATAATGATTTAAGATGTTGGTGTGTGTGTATCTATCTATCTTGCACATATATATTACATATATACATTTGGTGTATACATGGTGTGTGTGTGTATCTATATGTGTGTATGTGTATCTAGGAATGAATGTCTTATTTACACTTGATGTATTTATGTGTAGAAATATACCCAGAAAATACAGAACATTGAATGTTTATTTTATGATGGTTTAGAATATTTTATTTGGGCTGGGTGTGGTGGCTCATGCCTGTAATCCTAGCACTTTGGGAGGCCAAGGCGGGAGGATCACGAGGTCGGGAGTTCGAGAACAGCCTGGCCAACATGGTGAAACCCCGTCTCTACTAAAAATACAAACATAAGCCAGGCATGGTGGCCCGGGCACGTGTAATCCCAGCTACTCGGGAGGCTAAGGCAGGAGAATTACTTGAATCTGGGAGGCGGAGGTTGCTGTGAGCCGAGATTGCATCACTGCACTCCAGCCTGGTGACAGAGTGAGACTCCATCTCAAAAAAAAAAAAAAAAAAAAAAGAATATTTTATTTGGGAGTGTTTAGCCTTTCAAAGTAAAGTAATTTCACAAAATATAAATTTATGACTCAGGACAAACTGGATAGCTACCCAGAATCTTATCTTACTTCATGAAAGTAGAAAAAGTACTGTGTCTTAGTCTGTTTGGGCTGCTATAATAGAATACCATAGCCTAAATGGCTTATGAAGTGTTATTTCTCCCAGTTTTGGAGACTGAGATTTCCAAGATGAAGGCACTGGCAGATTTGGGATCTGGTGAGGGCCCTCTTCCAGGTTCACAGACTGCGGTGTTCTTGCTGTAACCTCACATGGTAGAAGGGACAAGGGAGCTGCTTGGGGTCTCTTCTACAAGGGCACTGATCTCATTCAAGAGGGCTCTGCTCTCATGGCCTAATTGCTTCCAAAAGGCCCTACCTTGATACCATCATCCTGGGGATAAGGTTTCAACCTATGGAACTGAGGGTGGGGCGTAAACATTCAGCGTATAGTATACTAGCTGGCACTGGTTAAACTTAATTACAATTTTTATTGCTGCTGTTCTCAAACTTTAAGGTTCAGACTTTCATTGTTTCAGGAAAACAATTATTTTGTGAGAGGGTGATTCACAATTATTAGTTTAGGTAGTACCAGGTTAGCCCTCTGCAGTACAGGAACTTGAAGGATCCGTTATGAACAATAACAGGTCATTGTGCGTATTTTATATGCCAATAATACATATATGCAAATTCCTGATTAATATCTATTAAAAAATAAGTCTTGGGAAGGCAAAAATAGTTGTTTTATCCACAGCAATAGCTCCAGAACCTAGAGTTAAGTAGTATTTGGAACAGTTCTTCCCTAAACGTCCTGTATATCAGGGGTCCTCAACCCTCAGGCCAAGGACCAGTACCATTCTGTGGCCTGTTAGGAACTGGGCCACACAGCAGAAGGTGAGCCACTGGTGAGCAAGCATTACTGCCTGAGCTCCACTTCCTGTTGGATCTGTGGTGGCATTAGCTTATCATAGGAGCTAGGAGTACAAACCCTTTTGTGAACTGCGTATGCACGGGATCTAGGTTGCCTGCTCTTTATGAGAACCTAATGCCTGATGATCTGAGGTAGAACAATTTCATCACCAAACCATCCCCATAATGCCAGGTCTGTGGAAGAATTGTCTTCCACAAAACTGGTCCCTGGTGCCAAAAAGGTTGGGGACCGCTGCTGTCTATGTAAGACATTGTTGAAATCTTATAGTACTCCTTTCTTCCTTTCCTGGGAATTTTCCACTTTTTGCTTTATGTTATCTTTATGTATGCATATGTCTTATCTTCTCACTTAACTACAAATTCCTTATTAGTTGAATTTTTTTTTTTTGAGGTGGAGTCTCACTCTGTCACCCAAGCTGGAGTGCAGTGGCGCAGTCTTGGCCCACTGCAACCTCTGCCTCCCAGGTTCAAGTTCTCCTACCCCAGCTTCCAGGGTAGCTGGGATTACAGGCACCCACCGCCACACCGGGCTAATTTTTGTATTTTTAGGAGAGACTGGGTTTTGCCATGTTGGCTAGGCTGGTCTCGAACTCCTGACCTCAGGTGATCCACCCGCCTCGACCTTACAAAGTGCTGGGATTACAGGCGTGAGCCACCACACATGGCCTGAGTTTTTATATTCCATATTGAACAATATGGTTTGTATAAAATATTCATAATAATTACTACTTAAACAATGACCTGAGAATAGTAATGTTTTCCTTTTGGTATTATTTTATAATTGACAGAAATGAAAATGGTTAATGTCATTATTTACATTTCAAATGCTCTGCTTTTTTTAAACATCAGTATAAAAGGAAATCTGGCTTTCTTAAAAATAAGGTAATTTCAGAAATATTTCTGCAGAGACTCAGAAGTGATACCTTTACCATGGATAAAGCTAACCATTGCTATCCCAGCAATAATCTGATCCCGTTATGTGTAATTTTTCAAACAATGGTTTAAATTCAAACGGTGACATTCTATTTTAGGGCAAACTGAGTAGATTTGCTTCCTTCTTGTTGATGTAATTTCAGACGTGATTGCCTCAGGAGCCCCTGGAATTGCTAAGGAAGCTCTTTCCATTTCCCATGTTACCTTAGATCTTTTGAGTGTCCGCTGGACTGAAAAGAAGCTTGAGCTTCCTTTTCTCAGTTTATACTAGATAATGCATACTGCGATGAACCCAAGATGGACCTAAGATTACAGAACTAGTAGTAGTTTATTTTTTGGTGCACAAAGCGGAACAAGTTTTTCCATGTTTTCAGTTGCTAATAGACTGCATTTTTACGCAAGACTAGTAGGAATAAGGTGGCGCGCTGTATGAAGGCACATTTGTGGTGTACCTTGGCTGGAGGCCTTCCTACTTCCTGCAGACTCTCCCCAAACTTTACAGCTATGTAATAGCTAGATTAAAATAGGCCACTATTTCATCTCCATGTGACATGAATATGTGCTTACATGTTCCATCCCTCCTCTATCACCCCAAATCACACAAGGGTATACCAGAAGTTGTAGTTCCAACTGCATGAAACCAATATGGTTGCTATTACTAAGGGGACTGGGATTCTAACTACCTCTTTTCATTCATGCTGTATCAGGTAAGGGAAGGCTAGGAACCCAGTGTAACTATAATAGAAGTTTCATATGATCTCTATGCTATTTAATCCCATTAAATGACTGTTGAATGAATGAACCCTTTGAAACGGGAGCTCAGCATGGTAGAACGTTTAGGCAACATGTGATGCCAGCTTCTTTTCCATGCATTTTCCTAGATTCCCAACTTACAAATATAGGAACATTAAGCCATCTGATTTGTATTTACCATTGTTTCCTCATTTGTCACTACTGTTTTCTCTTTGTCTAAAAAATTCTATGACAATCTTTGTACCCCCCTCTGATGTTCCAATCAAAGAGCTCTTCTCACTTTGTACTAGTTTCTTTCTCCTATCTCTCCTTTGTTATAGCATGCTCAGATGCCCATCAAACCGAAATGAAAACAAAATAAAGAGACATATATAACTTACCTTCTTTTACTCATTGTTTCTTTCATTGAAAACTATTTCTAGAAAGCTAACTAACTGTCATGCAGTTTGCTAAGATCAGTGCTAGGTAGTATATTAGGCACATGCATATTTGGAATCGTTTTTTCTCTTGGATGTTGCTTTTTATCAGTATGAAATATTCTTCTTCAGTTTAGTAATACTCTTTGTCTTGACGTTTTTTTAAACTGATATTTAAATAGCTATTCTATTCTTTTGATACTTACTGTGTGCATGTTTTTTTTTTTTCCAACTCCATCTGTGTACTTTCAACTTCCCTGTGTCTCTGTGTTTGAATTGCATCTCTCATAGACAGCATGCATTTGGGTCTGTGTTTTTTATTCATTGTGATAATCTTTACTTTCTTGGAGCATTTAGATTGTCAACATTTATTGTAATTGTTGTTATAGTTGGATTTAGGTCTGTCATTTTTTGTCCCTCTAATTCTTCTTTCCTACCTTATTATTTACATGGTATTTTTTGCTGTTTTGTTTTAACTTTTATTTCTATTTTTTTTTTTTAGCTTCACCTCTTTGTGTCACATATTTTTCAGTTATGCTAGGAATCACAATGTATATTCCTAACCTTTTATACTCTACTTAGATAGAATTTTCATATAAAATATAGAAACCTTGACTCCATATAGGGCTTTTTGCTGCCTCTCCTGCTCCATTTAACTTATTTTGTTGTGACGTGAGTAGCATCTGTATGTGATTGTATTTTTAAATAATTAAACATATTTAAATATAGTTTTTTTATATTTAGCTACATTTCCCCCATTTCTGAAGCTCTTCCTTTGTTAAGACCAAGTTTCCCTCCAGTATCATTTTATATCGTTTTTCTTTAGCCTAAGGAAGTATCTGTAGTGTATTTTGAAAACACATCTTTTCAGTGATGAATTTTCTTAATTTTCTTTCATCTTAGAATTTTTTTTATCTCACCTTCCTTTTTTTTGAAGGACATTTTAAAATTGGATATAGAAGTCTGGGTTGACAGTTTTTTTCTTTCAGCATAATAAAGATATCCCAATTACCTCCGATCTACCTTGTCTCTGATGATAAGTCTGCCATCATTGTTACTTTGTATTAATACATAAATTGTCATTTTTTTCCCCTTCTACTGCCTTTAGGTTTTTCTTTTTATTGGGTTTTAATCAGTTTTATTGTAATATAAGTAGGCATGGTTTTCTTGTATTCTGATTGAGTTTGATGGACTTCCTGATTATAATTGTGATTTTTCACCACATTTGACAGTTTCCATCTCTCGTCCTTCAACCTGAAACTATTCTTTTGTACTCTGTTCTCCCAGTTTCTCTCCTCTCTGGCTTACTAATGACATACATGTTACATCTTGAGTACTTTTTCACAAGTCCCTGAGATTCTGTTCATTAGATTTTCCATCATTTTTTTCTTTCTGTTCATCATATTGTGTACTTTCACTGATTCTTTCTTTTGCTGTCTTTATTCTTTTATTCAACCTCTCAAATGAAAACATTTTATTTCTAATGCTATAATTTTCCTAGAATTTTCATTAATAGTTCTTTTTTTGAGACTCCTTATCTTTGTTAACATTGATAATTTTTGTTACAAATTGAATAGTTATGTTCAGTTTTTTAAAAGGCACCTACACACATTTAAAAGATAAACCAGAAGCTAGAAAAAGAAATTTGCAATACCTGGGCCCTCAGAAAATCGGGACCCAGAATATTGAAAAATTCTTACACTTATCAAGGGACAAGTCCAAAGAAAAATGAATAAAAGAGATAACAAGGCAACTCAAAAAAAGTAAACTGGTATGTCCAATAAATACAAGAAAAAGTGTGTATTCTCAATAGAAAGCAAGAAAATGGAAATAAGACATCAGTAAGATACTTCTTCATCTCCAGTGAAAAAGTTTGACAGTATCAAATGTTGAAGAGCATTTGAAAAATTAGTAACTATTATATACTATATTAATATAATTTGGTATAATCTCAATGGGAAGCAATTTGCAATATCTAATATAATTAGTCCAGTAATTACACCCTTAGTCATACATTCTAGAGAAACTCTTTCAAAACCAGTTTTCCAACCATCAGACACATTAATGGGTCCAACACTTGGGTCTAGTCAGATTTGCCTGATATCTAAGTATAACTATCAGACAAATCAACCTAGGCCAAAAGATTATGAAAATTAATAATTAGAGTTTCAAGCTACTAAAGTTTAATTTCTTTCACATAAAAATGTTAGCTGACACTTTTCCCATACATTTTTATGCCCTATATGGATATAAATATAGTGAAAATAAAAATAGGGTTATATTACCATTATACAATAATATAGAAAGATAATTTCTATGTAGAGCAAGATATTTGTTTTTGTTATTGTCTCTATGACTAAAAAAAAAAAATCAGAAAATTAAGTAAAAAGAAGTATATTTCCCTTCTTATTCCAGGAAAGTAACTGAGCCTTTTGTACCCTGAGGCTGCGCTCTCCTGCCTCAGATGATCTTTGGGGACCTTGGTTTTTCTTGATCACAAAGAGAATTTGCTTTGTCTTCGTCAAGTGAGAGAGACTGATTATAATAGTTAAAGTAGCTGACGTGCTCACATCTGTATTTCTTCATACAGCTTTGAGTTATGGTCTAGTGTCCTGTCATTTCATCCTGCAGGACTCCCTTGAGCATTTCTTGTGGTACAGATCGAGTGATAATAAACTTTTCCAGCTTTAGTATATCTGGAATGTCATAATTTTTCCCTCATAGTCAAAGGATAGTTTTACTGGATATAGAATTATTGGTTGAAACTTTATTTTGTTTCAGTACTTTGAATATATCAGACCACTGCCTTCTGGTCTCCCAAATTTGTGACAAGAAATCTGCAGAGATTCTTATTGAGCATTTCTTGTGTGTGACCAGTTACTTCTTTCTTGCTAGTGTTAATATTCTCTCTTTGACTTTGTCTTTCAAAAGTTTGTTTATAATGTATCTCGATGTAGGGCTCTTTGGATTAACATCATTTTGAGTTCATTAAGCTTCTTGGATGTTTATGTTCACATCTTTCATCAAATTGGACAAGTTTTCAGCCATTATTTTTTAAAAATATCCTCTCTGTTCCTTTCTCTCTTTTTCTTCTAGGACTTCCATAATGCATATTTGGTCTGCTTGGTGGTGTTTCACGGCTTCCTGAGGCTGTCTTCACTTTTCTTCCATTTTTCTTTTTCTGTTCTTTAGAGTTGATACTTTCTGATCCATCTTCAAGTTCATGGATTCATTCTTTTGCTTCCTCAAATCCGTCTTTAAATTCTCTTTGTGCATTATTTTATGTTAGTTATTGTATTTTTCAGTTCTTTTCAGTTATTGTATTTTTCACCTTCTTTTTGATTTATTTTCAGGTTTTCTATCTCTTTATTAATATTGCCATTTTGTCTGTACATTGTTTTCTTGGCTTGCTTTCTTTAGTTCTTTGAGCATATTTAAAACAAAATTTAAAAAGCCTTTGTCTTTACTCTGCCATCAGGTCTTTTTCAGGGATAATTTGTATTGATTTATCTTTATCCTTTGAATGGTGCATACTTTTGTTTCTTTGTATGTCTTGTGATTTTCTTTCTTTTTTATTTTGAAAAGTGGACATTTGAATTTAACAATGTAATTCTGGAAATCACATTCTCCCTCTTCCCAAGGGTTTGCTGGGTTTTTATTAATTGTTTTTATTTGTTGTTTTTTGATTTTTGTAGTTTATCTTTGTGCCAAGGATAAGCCTGAAGTGTAAACTTAAGGTCTTCTCAGGGCATTTTTCAGCCTGCACCTTTCCCTGGGCACAAGTGGTCACTTTCTAATTTTCCCGATATATATACAGTTGCTTTTAAATGTCCTAATCTTTAATGTCTGGCTCCCAAAAGGTGGGAAAGATTAAAAGGAATCATGGAAAAAAGAGGGCTCTGGCCGTTTAATCCCCCAGCTGTCACTTCAACCAGATAAGGAGGGGCAACTACAGTGGGGGGACAGAGGCTCAACAATGGCCTCCTGCTTCTTTGTTTGCACCTGAGTGATCAGAAGCAGTAATCAGGGATCAGAGCACAGATCCTTTATATTTGGAAGGTGAGGACATTGGGAGGTTGGCTCACTTTGGCTCCTGCAGGCTGTGTGCAGGTTGCTCCAGAAGCGCGTGCACAGCTGCCTGCCACAGGGCCGGGAGTGGGGGATAGGTAGCTGCTGATCTGCTAAGAGCTGACATTGACTAAAATTAACTGTAATTTAAGCTCCAAGCCTTTCTTTGGAAGTTGTAAGACCAACAGTAGACCCCAAAGTTTCCAACAGATTCTGCTAGTACAATTGTCTAGATGGGGAAATAGATCCCTGGCACTTTCTACTCTGCTATCTTCCCAGAATCCTTTCTGGGGTTTCTAATTTTTTCATTCATTCTTAATATATTTTTGTTCATATCATGGAGCATAGTTATAATAGCTGCTTTTCTAAAGACGTTGTCTGATAATATGAACATCTGGGTCATCTTGAGGTTGGCATCTGTTGATTGTATTTTCCTTTGAGATTTAGTCAGATTTTCCTCTATTTTGGCACATTGGATAATTTTGTATCTTGGACAACATAGTCTGTGTAACTGTATTTAATCATTTCTTTTCATTTAACATTTAAATGAGCTTATTACTCTCTGTAATACAAGATATATTCAATCTAGGTTTTGCTGAGAAAGAAACTCATTCATTTTTGAAAGCATGCGTTTCCCAGTATTGTGTTTTTCAAACTGGGTTCAGTGAAACACTATTGTTTTGTAGTCTATAGTAAAAAACATGTTGCATAATCAAACAGGTTAAAAATAAGTTAATCAAATAAGTTAAAGTTAAAAATAAAACTGTGCAGAGCCATAATGTATGCCTAATAAAGTGGTAGTTTCCAAGTGGAGGACATTTTAAACTATATTCTTCCTTCAATTAAATTATTAATCTAGTGAAAACAATAGTATTACGTGGTTTGGAAAATGCTACTATAGTGCAGTCTAAATAAATCCAGACTTGCAGAAACGTAGCTATTGTATAATGCCAAGGAATGTGTCTATTGTGTATTTTTAATTTAACATAGTTACTATTTTACTTATTACCAAATAATTACATGTATATCCCTTTTATGTATCTCTTCCACTTATACTTCTTGTCATAAGAATTATTACATGAAAAGGTCATCTTAGTAGTGTAGCATCATTATTGTAATAGGATATAAACCATTATAAGGTCAGCATAATTGTTTTAAAGTCATTAGTCATACAGTTTTCTAGACTAGATATGCTTGTAAGTTTTTTTTTTTTTTTTGAGGTGAAATCTTGCTCTGTCACCCAGGCTGGAGTGCGGTGACGTGATCTCGGCTCACTGCAACCTCCACCTCCTGGGTTCAAGTGATTCTCCTGCCTCAACCTCCTGAGTAGCTGGGATTACAGGCATGTACCACCATGCCCAGCTAATTTTTGTATTTTTAGTAGAGATGGTGTTTCACTATGTTGGCCAGGCTGGTCTCGGACTCCTGACCTCATGGTCCACCCACCTCGGCTTCCCAAAGTGCTGGGATTACAGGCGTGAGCCACCGCACCCGGCTGCTTATAGTTTTTATTTTCTTTTTTTAAAATCCATTTTAATTTTAGATTCAAGGGATACATGTGCAGGTTTGTTACAAGGGCATATTGAGTGGGGCTGAGGTTTGGGCTTCCGTTAATCCCATAACCCAGAAGCTGAACATAGTATCCAACAGGACATGTTTCAGCCCTTGTTCCTCTCCCTCCCTCCTTTTGGAGTCCCCAGTTTCTAGTGTTCCCATCTTTATGTGAACCCAAAATTTAACTCCTACTTGTAAGTGAGAACATGTGATATGTTTCTGCATATGGAATAACAGTCTCTAGCTGCATCCATGTTTCTGCAAAGAACATGACTTCATTCTTTTCATGGTGTTGTAGCATTCCGTGGGGTATATGTACCACATTTTCTTTATCCAGTCCACTGTTGATGGACATCTAGGTTTATTCCACGTCTTTGCTATTGCAAATAGTGCTGTGATGAACATACGAGTGCCTGTGTCTTTTTGGTAGAATGATTTATTTTCCTTTGAATATATACCCACTAATGGGATTGCTGGATTGAATGGTATTTCTATTTTTAGTTCATTGGGAAATCTCCAAACTGCTGTCCACAGTGGCTGGACTAGTTTGCATTCCCACCAACAGTGTATAAGCATTTCCTTGTCTTCACAACCTCTGTAACACCTGTTATTTTTTGACATTTTAGTAATAGCCATTCTCACTGGTGTGAGATGGCATCTCATTGTGGTTTTGATTTGTATCTCTCTGGTGTTTAGTCATGCTGAGTACTTTTTCTTAAGTTTAGCTGCTTGTTATCATCTTTTGAGAAATGTCTTTTATTGTCCTTTGCCACTTTTTAATGAGGTTGTTTCCTTTTTTCTTGTTGATTCATTTAAATCCCTTATAGATTCTGGATATTAGTCCTTTGTCAGATGCATAGTTTGCAAATATTTTCTCCCATTCTGTTGGTTATCTGTTTATTCTTGTCAAGAGTTTCTTCTGTTGTGCAGAAGCTCTCTTTGGTTTAATTGTGCCATTTCTCTATTTTTGGTTTTGTTGCATTTGTTTTTAGGGTTTCATCATAAATGTTTGCCTAGACCAATGTCTAAAAGAGTATTTCCTAGCTTTTCTCCCAGAGTTTTTATAGTTTGAGGTCTTACTTTTAAGTTTTTAATGCATCTTGAGTTAATTTTTATGTGTGGTAAGAGGTAGTGGTCCGGTTTCATTCTTCTGCATATGGTTAGCCAGTTTTCACAACACCATTGATTGAACAGGGTGTCCTTTCTCCATTGTTTATTTCTGCTAACTTTGTCAAAGATGAGTTGGTTGTAGGTATGCAACTTTATTTCAAGGATCTCTGTTCTGATCCATTGATCTGTATGTCTATTTTTGTACCATGCTGTTTTGGTAACTGTAGCCTTGAAGTATAGTTAGAAGCCCAGTAATATGATGCCTCTGGCTTTGTTCTTTTTACTTAGGATTGCCTTGGCTATTGGGGCTCTTTTTTGTTTCATTTGAATTTTAGAATAGTTTTTCCTAATTCTGTGAAAAATGATGTTTGTAATTTGATAGGAATAGCATTGAATCAGTAGATTGCTTCAGGCAGTATGGATATTTTAATGATATTCTTCCAACCCATGAGCATGGAATGCTTTTCCATTTGTTTGTGTCGTCTATGATTTCTTTCAGCAGTGTTTTGTAGTTCTCCTTATAGAGATCATTCACCTTCTTGGTATTCCTAGGTATTTAATTAATTAATTAATTATTGTGGCTATTAGGTACATTATAGTTTTTAAAATATTCTGTGTTAAAGAGAAAAAAAGTCAATGTGAGGGAAAGGATGTTGCCCAGGATGGTGGGTACAATTTTAAATATGGTTGTTATTTGAAAGATGACATTTGAACTAGGAATTGCGGGAGATGAGGAAGAGAAGCCATGTGTAAATCTAAGAGACCATATCATGCCTGAAGTGTGAGCAAGTCTGATATATTCAGGGAACAGCTGGAAGCCCACACAGCTGAAATGGCACAAGGGAGGGGAACATTGTAGAAGTTACTTAGAGATAAATTGGTGGGGACTAGCCCCTCTAGGGACTTGTAGAACTTTGTAAGACTTGAACTTTTTCTCTGAGTAAAATGGGAAGTTAACACACAGTTTTGGCTAGAGGATTCATGTTTCAAAGCTTGTCCAACTCGCTTTATTTTGTTGTTGTCATTCTGTTTTGTTTTGTTTCAGGCTTTTAGCAGCCTGAAGCCATGGTGTTTAGTTTCGTGTCTAGTGATAAGCAGAAAAGAGGGACGAGGACGGGGCTTTACTGGCCCAACCAGAAACAGAAACTAAGAACCCACGACTGTATTCTGTCCCTTGGACACCCCTGTAAGAAGTTCTGACAACTAGGAATAGACTGTGAGAAGCAAGGTGGAGTGTCAGAGACCTTTCAGAGTTAAGAGATGATAGTGGCTTGGACCTCAGTTAAGAGATGATAGTGGCTTGGACCTCAGTGTACACAGTGGAGCTGCTGAGAAGTGGTCAGATTCTGGAACTATTTTGAAGAATATGCCAGTAGAATTTGCCAGCGGGCTGGGTATGGACTGTGAGAGAAAACAAGAAATTGAGAGTGATCCCACAATTTTTGGCCTGGGCAATAGGAAGGGATTGCCATTAGCTGATAAGTGGAAGCAGCTTGGTAGAAAATGGGGCAATGAGAATTCTGTGGTTATGTTAGGTTTGAGTGGTCTGTTCCTTCATAATTGATATGCAGACACAGGGGTCTAGTAGTCTCAAGGCAGAAGGTGGAGAGTGAGGGTATGAGTGTTAGAAAGTCTAACAGTATGGGTTCAATTGGGACATAAACCACAGACTAATATAAGCAGAAGAGTTTATTATAATGAATGATTAACCTATGATGGAAGAGTACAAGAATATAGTGATAACTTTAACAGCACCCTAGGGATGAGTAAGCATACCCAAGTTCGGATAAGCTTGGAAGGGGGTCCCCTCTCTAAGACTGGGGTGCAGATTTCATTGGAGAAGGTGTGTTTGCAGCCCACTGGTTTGCCTGGGCCATAGCTGGTCACGTCTCTGGGCAAGCAAGAAAACACACTTCTGGGGGCAGGTGAACTCTAGCTAGTGGGCAGGCATGCAGGAGTTAGGATGCTACAGTGAACGTGAAGCCCAGAGTGTACAGTATCTATGTAGGGAGGGCCCAGGAAACAAACCTCAGGGCACAGGCAAGCCTTGGCTGGTGCAGGTGCACAGTGCGTGGTGTCTGCATTGGAGGCAAACTGGTCACTGAGTCTAGGTCAGGACTGCAAGGTTGCCAAAGGGCTCTGCACTCCGGGTATGCTGCTGGGGTGTGGCAGAGCACCCCCAGATGTCATTATACACCCACACCGCTGACCAATTGTGCTGCAGAAAAGGCAAACTGCATACCAGAGTCAGGAAGAGGACCCCCTTCCTCTAGCAGTGCCCCTCCATCACCTCCTACTGGCAAAGCATAACCTCATATTCACTGTAAAGGGGGACCGGGAGCTGCTGAGTCCAGTCCGTTATCTCGGATTCAGTTCTAGAAGGCAAACTGAGGGATGAGAGGCAGTAACTGGCACAGATGGTAGGGAGGGTTGAGGTTTTAGGAGGTATGGTCTCATCTGGCATGACAGTCACGTGTGTTTGTGACTTAATATGGTAGGTGTCATGCTCATATGAAAGTGTCTCTAGAAACAAAAAGTGACATGCACGGGCTTAGACTTGGCTTGAGTCCTCTTTGGAAATCTTTCCAACTTTATCATGTTGGTGTAATGGTAATTATTAACTTCAGGTCTGACACAGTGTTTGAAAGATAGCTGAATAGTCTTAATTTTGCCTTAATAGTTTAATAATAACATTTGAGGGTACATGTGAATTTTATCTAGAAAAAATAAACATATTTAAACTCAATTTTTAAATTAAATATATGGGTAATAATCTTATTTGGCATTCCACTTCTTATCCTTGAAGAAAAAAATATCGCTAACCTAAATCCTTTCCCATAAATACAACACACTTTCTTTTTGCCAGATGCTTAAATGTCATTGGTCTGTTTTAAAGTAATTCTATTTGATCTCTGTGAAACAGATGGAAGTATTTGTTATACAAACCTTATTTAGAATGTAATCTTTTTTTCTCTCCTGATTGCATATGTTTGGCAGTGAGCTTTCTCTTCTAGATGTGAATGAATCTTGGTTAGCCTCCAAATCTAAACACACCCTAATTTCAAAAACCACAATCCTGAGGACTCAATTCCTGTTTACTGAGGAATTAAAACCTAGAGAAACCACATAGTTACTAAATGCAGTACAACCTAGTGAGTTTTTAAAAACAAAAATCATTACAGTTTATTTAGGGTTATTGACTGTCATTAAGTTCAGAGAGTAAGATCTTTTCCTAAGCAGTATATAATATTTACAGTTGGTTAACTATATCTATTGCTTCTGAATCTTGAAATATACTCCTTATATGGCAAAGTGAGCTTGTGAGGTGGATAGGAAGCAGTAGACTGTGGTGTGGGGAATGAGGGAGCAGATGAGGAAAATTACTCATTTTTTTAAGTGTGTTGAATGACTAACTTCAATTCAAAAATGTGTCTGTTAAAATATTCATGTATAACTATCAGTTGCATTGTGTTTTTCTGAAAATCATTTTTTTCTTTCTTTCATATTTAAGAAACAAATAAACAAAAAATCTTAAGTATTCAACCAGACCAAAACCTGGACATGAATACTATTAGCAGTTCAACTGAAGAAAAATACATGAAAAAAGATAGGAAGGGAAAAAATTCAACACCCCCTTTGTCATTAAACAGTTCTAATCCAATTAGAAGGAAGAAAAAAAAGCAGGTAAAGTAGAAAGAATTAGAGATCTAAATTTACACTTCTCAGGATTGGATTTCACAGGCATACTTTATAGTTTTAGCAATCTTTGCTTAAAGATTACTAGGGTAGTAGTTGACATACCATAAACTTGAATCTGGAAGAAGGGTATCATGCATGCCACATGATACAGCATCCTCAAAAGTGTATACCATATTACATTAGTGAAAATGAATTGGATTAACTGTTCTGTGTTCCCATAACTTCCTAGAGGAATTTAATTGATTCATGTTTTAAGCAACATTTAATCATCAGTTTCTTCAAACAAAAATGAGAGGAGTATTGACTTTCCCCACATAGCTGTTTTAAAACCATACTCTCAAATTTCATTGTTTTATTGAGTTGGTTCATGGAATCCCTGCAAGTATGCTCATTTTCAACCATAAACGTGCTTAAGGTGAATTTCAGAATTAAAAAAAAAGAAAAGCTTTGGATCTTGAATCACTTACAGATTGACTCTATAAACTTAATAAAAAATCAGAAATTATATTTCTTTCTTGTTAATCTAAGGTGTGACACTGCCTGTCACATCATAAAATTATTGACTGATTTTTTGATAGTTATGCTTCTTTTGGATAAACCAACTATATTGCATAAATTCCTGGAAAATGAAAATTAAAAGATTAACACAGCTGCATTGGAAATATGTGGAAATAAATGATCCGGGATTGTTCTTATATGTCGTTCCTGTTATTTTACTTTATTTTATTAAGAGACAAGGTCTCGCTCTCTTGGCCAGGCTGGAGTGCAGTGGTGTGATCATAGCTCACTACAGCCTTGAACTGCTGAACTCAAGTGATCCTCTTGCCTCACCCTCTCAAATAGCTGGAACTACAGGCATGCATCACCATGCTGGCTTTCTCTTATTTTAATATGATATTTTTCTTTTATTAGTTGACATCCAAAAGGCTGACATTGTAGAGCAGAGAGCAGTTTCATGTTCACATTGTGGAATTTATGGCCATTTACTTTTTGTAGGCGGGTAGGTTCTCTGAGCACTTCTCCTTCACATTTGTTTTTAGTTTTGCATGGTCCGTCCACTTTACCATCTTGTAGCCCTCTGCTCTCCAGCCACCCACCCCCTTTTAGTTTCTCAAAACCATGCAGATCCTACCACTAGAACAGCACTGACAAAAGGTGTTCCTTCAGGCAGGAGATTTCCACTTACCATCTCCTTCTAGTAAAAGTCTCCTGAATCTTCAGTTGTCATTCTTTTCTTCCTTAGGAATTCTTTGTATCAAATCCTTCCATTTCAGGCTCATACAGCAACATGCACCTTGTCTTTAGAATGCTTGTAAACCTAGACATTGTACGCATATTCACTTTTCTTTACTCCCATTCTCTCTGATCTGATGAAAGTTCTGTTGTTTTTCCTTAGTATTGTATCTCCTTGGCACATAGTAAGCACTACAAAAAACATTTACCAGATGAATGCAAATAATTGTTTATGGCAGTTAGAACGCTACCCTTGACAAGTTCTCTTAAATAGAATTTCTTTTAAAATACCAGGGCTTTGATCATGATTTTAATGATGGCATTGTTTCTTGGAAGAAAGAGTAATTCTGTGATCAGATGTTCCACAAAGTACATTTGATTATCAGTGTTTACTTTTACATTTGAAATAAAGACTATTGCTTTCTTGGTCATTGTAACAGAAAGCAGAGTAACAATGTATTATAGAATCTGTTAGCCCAAGGAAAATGCACTTCTCGAACTGATCAGATCGCTGCCCTACACACTTTACCTCCACACTTATCAATTTGCACATCAAGATTAGTGTTTTCCTTATATGTCAATGCAAAAGACTTAAGAGATTATTTTTAGAACTCCCCAGCACTTCTTCCTGTTCCTGACCTTTTCCTTCTCCTTACCCACCCATGCATCTTGTTCTGAAGTACAAGGCTCAATACAGAAATTAATCCCTTGGAATTTGCTATGTCACTTCCTATTGCAACATTTGCTTTTTAGATGACCAGTTACCACTTACCCTTTCTTTTGGGAGGTCTTTACTAAGTGAGCTGTCTACAAAACGATGAGTCGTCCTGGATGGGTGTTGTTAGAGCAGGCCATTAGTTCTCCATTCTACCCATCCGATGCTTCCTTTTTCTCCCATCCAAGTGGGAACCACTGATGCTTCCTTTTTCTAACAAATATGCATAACGCCCTTTTCACTATTCTGAAAAGAAATGTATGGATAATAAATCTATATACATAACTTAAGTCACCTAATGTCTGACACTTAATATAAAGTAGTGCAGTAATGTATAATATTATATGATGTATTTAAGTATGTGAATGCTTATGTGTGATTGAACCAGAAGATATAAGGAAGTACATATTTGTTAAGGTATTTATAATCACCTTGAATACAATATCTAACAATGGTTTTATCACCATTAATGAGATTTTCCAAAATAGTCAACAGTAAATTTGAAGTAGAGTTTTTCTTAGATACTGCAGCATGGTTTTATTCCTGGACAGCTCTGTGTACCTTAAAATATGATATAAGATATTTAATTAATATTAAAATAATGTATATAAAATAGTGTATACTGCCCGGGCACGGTGGCTCATACCTGTAATCCCAGCACTTTGGGAGGCTGAGGCAGGTGGATCACTTGAGGTCAGGAGTTCGAAACCAGCCTGGCCAACCTGGTGAAACCCCGTCTCTACTAGAAATACAAATACAAAAATTAGCTGGGCGTGGCGATGTGTGCCTGTAGTCCCAGCTACTCAGGAGACTGAGGCAGGAGAATTGCTTGAACCCAAGAGGTGGAGGTTGCAGTGAGCCAAGATTGAGCCACTGCACACTTCAGCCTGGGCAACAGAGCAAGACTCTGTCTCAGAAAAAAAATAGTGTATGTTAACATCCTGAAAAATATTTAACGTGTACATTTTTTTTCAAATTATGCTTTTGTACATAAAAAGCTACTAAGGAAGATGCTGGTATCTATTACTGTCCTCTGCAAGGAAAAAGTAATTTTGTTGGGGAGCTACAATATGCATACAATTTTAATTATCATATAAGAATTCCACTGCTAGCATTCTATGAATAGTAGTTTAACAGAAAACACATCATAAGGCACTTTAAGTACCAACCTTAAAAAAGGGGGAGTAGATCATAAAGACTGTGGTGTTTTGGGAGGGGAAATATGGCATCCATCTGTAGCAAGGAGTGCAAATATTGCTTGAATTGAAAGGAGAGAAAGGGAGAAAGGGAGGGTTGCTGTATTACGTCTATGCCAGATTCACATTTCCCTCAGAAATGCTAGGTTCAACTACTGACCTATTTTAAATCACAGGCCTGTCTTCAATATGTACTGACCTGAAATGAAAAAATAGTCCAAATTTCTACTTTTTAAAAAGAGAGAGGAAAGAGGAGAAGCAAAAGGATCACTGTTATTGTTGTCCTCCTCAAGTTCTTTATAAAAATAGCTGGAGAATAAATCCTTAATAAATGTAAAAATTTTGGAATACTTTCATGTTCGTTTCATCCTAGCTTTGATCCTTGCCGCTATTTTTCCTCATGTTTTCAGTTCTAAATGTAAACCTGTTTGATAATGGAAACCCTTGTTTGCTTCTCCTTTTATTATGACTTTTTTTGGTTTCTCAGGAGGTCTTTGCTCAGGAGAACATGAATTGCACATCCTTGTGTGTGGTGTTGAATTGTTTGTAAGTTCCCTGTCTGCCTCTACCAGCCATTGTTTTTACATAAATTCTGTTCTTCTGTGATCTGCCTCGTTTGTCTCTTTGAGAACATTAACAAGCCTTTTAGCTTAGTGGAATACAAAAGTGTTTCCTGCGCATTCACTCTTTAATAACTATTCAGCTCTTCTGGGAGGACAGTTTCTTCTGACACACATAGAGTAAACATTTTCCAGTAATTTTCCTTGATGGCAGGCAAGCATTAGGGAAATGGTGCAGTTGGCTAGCAACCCCAGTAAATTTTGCCAACCTGATGCCATAAATGTTCACTAGGCTGTCTTCAAATTCCTTTATTCTGCTGATGTTACAGGAATGGACTTAAGACTAAGCATATTGTAGTTTATATATAAGACTTTCAGGTTTGGCCTGTGTGGTCATATAAGGTAGAGGTTTTTGAATGGTAGCAAACATAATTGTTCTCATGCCTGCTAAAAACCTTGGTTATGACTAAAGCTGGATCCTAACTTAAAATTATGCATGAACAGTAAAAACATTTGATGGTTTTGATGTATTATGTTTGATAGGGTCATCAACCTTCCCTTCTTACTTCCCATGATTGCAACAACTGAAATTTAACTGGGCAATAAATTTATTAAAGGAATAAATAGTCAACTCTCTTAATAAGGATGTAGAACTCCTATCATGTTTTTCTTCACTGAACTTATTTAGGAACTTGAGTGATTCCAGATGGTATTACATGAGTATTTGGCTCTGAATTTCTTGTTTTCTCACATTTGCCAACATACAAGTGTTCAAGACTTTCAGGTCCCTGAGGAGCTGTTCAGCCATTGGATATACAACTTTAGGTTGCTATGGTATATTTGATCATTCTTTTGAAAGTTCTCCTCAGTCCTTGGCATTTTAAAATATGAAAATTATTTAATGTAACCCGGAGAAGAAAGATCTGTGGAGCTGTAGTGTGTGAGTCAGTGGACCATAAAATGTAGATCTCTTGAAAAGCTAGTTTTCAAGATGAGACGAGATCAACAAGTAGTATATAGACCACCCATAAACTCTTGAATGTGGAATGTGTAAAAATGTATTTAAGTGGCCCTTTAATAATGCAAAAGTATTTTCCCTTAAATGTGCTGGGAAGTCCCCAGTCCAACACACAAAAGGCCATTTCATGCATAACATATATATAGGGTTTTTACATACTCAAATAAAATGAGAGAACCAAACCACGAGATCTTTTTTCCCCTCCAATAAATATTTAGAGTGAACCTACTGTGTGCCAGGCACTGTTCTAGGTGTTGGTATTACAAAAATGAATCTTATATTCACCTCTTTGAAGAGCTTTGGATGTAATGTGGATGACAAACATGAAACCAAATAATTAAAACCTATTGTTCTTAAGTGCTAGATAGAGTTCTTTGGAAAGAGTGGGGCAGTTGCTGAAAAGGCAACAAGGACTTGATCTTCGGGGAGGTAGAAGGATGTTCATAGAGAGGCAGTATCTGGGATTGTTCTTAAATGTTGGTCAATAATATGCTGCAGAGAAGAGATAAAGACCCAGCAGATGGAGCAGTATGATCAAAGGCATGGATGTAAAAATCTATAATGTGTTTTAGGTGAGGAATTTTGTGTTGCTGACAAGTAGTGCCTAGGGAAATGGGAGTCAGAGGAGGGGCAGGGATTGAGACTGGCAGGGATGGATGTGGACAGGTTGCTGTGGGGTAGCAATGAGAGTGAGAGGGAGAAGTCTGTTTCTAAGATGTTTTTCAGGGGAAGACTCAACAGGAAATGTTGGTAACAGGATGTGGGAGACAGGAGACCATACACAGGCTTCTTTCTTGGGTATTTGGATCACCATAGCTGGGATTGGATGTTCAAAATGATGAACAGATTTGGGGACAAAATAGAACGGATGATCAATGGCTCATTTTGTTTTTTTTCTTTCAAGTTTTTATTTTAGACTCATTATAGATTCAGAGGACTTTGTAAAAATAGTACACTGTGTCCCATATACCCAGTTTTCCCCAATGATAGCATCTTATAAAACTATAGTATAACATCAAAACCTGGAAAATTACATTGGTATGATCCGTGGACCTTTTTTAGATTTCACCAATTTTGCATGCACTCCTACTGGGTGTGGGCATCATGTACACACATATGCATGTACAGTTCTATGCACTCGTGTCACATGTTGATTCCTATAATTATCAGCACAATCAAGATGTAAAACAGGACGAGTGGGTGGCTCATGCCTGTAATCCCAGTACTTTGGGAGGCTGAGGCGGGCTGATCACGAGGTCTATCACAAGGTCAAGAGATTGAGACCATCCTGGCCAACATGGTGAAACCCTGTCTCTACTAAAAGTAAAAAATTAGCTTGGTGTGGTGGCACGCACCTGTAGTCCTAGCTGCTCAGGAGGCTAAGGCAGGAGAATTGCTTGAACCCAGGAGGCAGAGGTTGCAGTGAGCCGATATCATGCCACTGCACTCCAGCCTGGGGAGACTCCATCTAAAAAGAAAAAGAAAAGAAAGATGTAAAATGATTCCATCACCCAAAACCATGACCCAAAAGATCCCTTGTGCTACCCCCTTGTAATTACACCATCTCTTTCTCCATCCCTAACCCCTGGTAGTTAATAATCTGTTTCCATCGCTATAATTTTGTCATTTTGAGAATGTGACATAAATGGAATCATACGGTATATAACCTTTTAAGATTAGCTTTTTTCCACTCAGTATAATTTCCATGAGATCCACTCAAGTGTTGAGTGCCTCAGTAGTTCATTTCATTTTATTGTTGAGTAGTATTTCATGGTATGAACATACTAACATTTGTTTAATCTTTCACCTACTGAAAGGCATTTGGGGTGTTTTGAGTTTTTGGGTATTACACACAAAACTGTTATGAACATGTATGTACATAATTTTTTGCATGTCGACTTAAGTTTTCTTTTTTTGTGTGATAAATGCCCAGGACTGCAATTGTTGTGTTACAAGTTGTGTATATTTACGTTTTAAGAAACTGACAAACTGTTTTCCAGAATGGTAGTACCATTTTCCATTCTCAGCAGCAATATATGAGAGGTCCAATTTTGCTGCATCCCTGGTATGGTTACTAATTTTTATTCTAGCTGTTACAATAGATTTGTAGTGATAGTCCATCATGATTTTAATTTGCATTTCCTTAATGGTCAATGAGGCTGAACATCATTTCATGTGCTAACTTGTCATCCATGTATTCTCTCTGGCGATATGTCTGTTTATGTCTTTTTCCCGCTTTCTAGTTAGATTGAGTTGCTCATTTGCGCCACCTCAGATCACCTCTTTCTTCCTTGTTGCTGCTGGGTGGAAGTTTGGCTGCCCACTGGGCCCCCAGATACCAGGTTGATGGGAAGTTGGAGTAGGCCTTGTATTAAGTAGCACTGCCTCATACCCACTTGCTCCACTTCATAGCGCTGGAGTGACAGTTCAGCTCTTCACTTAACACCTCAATGGGACAGTTTTTCATTTGGTGTTTGGCCTAGGGCAGGTATTAAGAGAAAGGTTTTCTGCTCTGGCAGACCACTTTTTTCCTAGTCCTTTGTCTGGAGGAAGGAAACTGGCTTTTCTTTTTCTTTTTCTTTTTTTTTTCCATGTATCTGCTGGTGGTTCCAGGTTCTAAGCTTCTTTAGCACCCACTCTGGGATAAATGGGAAGAAAATAGAAAACTCAGGAAGTTCATCACCATGCTGTTAATGATACTGTGAGGTCGTTGGCCAGTCTGCCTTCTTTCCACCCTTCATTGCTTCCCTATGTTTGTTTGTACCATTATGTCCAGGTATTATTCTAAAAATAATTGTTAATCAGTAAAAAGTTTTGAATAGGATATACATGCTCTGATTTGCACCTTTTAAAAACAATCACATTAAGTACTTCATAGAACATGTGTTAGAGAGAGTCAGGGATGATTTAGGGGAGACCAATCAGGATATTAGAATAGTTGAGTTGAGAGATGGCGGTTTGGACAAGGATGGTGGCAGTGGAGGTGGATCTGAGACTCAGTGATTCACTGGATGTGGAAGTGAAATATGAGTAGATGTTTAGGATAACCCCCAGCTTTCTGGGTGGGTGACGAGTTTTCCAGTTTACTGGAATGAGGATCACTGAAGATTTAGAGGAAGAAAACCTGACTTGATTTTGAAATATGTTTCATCTAAGATGCTTCTGAAGTATGCAGGTGAAAAAGTTGAGAAAGTAATGGTCTGTCTGGACGTGGAATGAAAATACAGGCTTAGAAGGGAAACCAGAGCTAAATGTATTTATTATATAGTGTGGTGAGGTATAGTGGATGAAGACCTGGCAGTGGGGATGGAGTGGGTTCAGCAGAGGGAGGGAAGAGATTCACAAGAAGAAGATGTAATGTAATCAAAGGGAGCAATATTAGGATGTAAGGTTGCCTAGTCAACATAAAAGTATCAGGAGTGATGGCGTTTGTGGAGAGAGGCAAAGGGCTTAGCATTTAGCTACATTATGAAATTGGAGAGAAAATGAATAAAGGAACTCGTAGAAGTTTGGCCAGCCCAATATTTCTACATTATATCCCTTAGAACACTGGTTCCTTGGGGGATATCTTTCTGTCTGTCTGTCTTAGACACACACAAATGCACACGTTTTGTGAGAAATTAAGTATAAGGAATGCTCTTAAACAAAACTAGTATTTCCAACAGCATAATTTCAAAGAGTGTTTAGCATCGTGAGTCTTCACAACAGATGTGGTATACAACAATTCCTAAGACATCTCAGGGATTTAAGTTAGTGTCCTCTGGGAGTTAGTTCTTGTAGACTGAAACGATGTCGTCTTGGAAGGGACTTTCCCTTATGGAAGTGAAAAAGACTGGGCGAGGGAAGGTTTGTTAGTTGAATGTTCAGAACCTGGAAATTCTTTGATGTGATTAACTAATGTATAAGTGTGGAGCCACTTTGTTCGTGTATTTGGCCATAAGGAAGAATGAGCCTATTTCAGCATTCGAGAAATAGTTGCTTAGCACCATTCATAAACTCAGCAGAAATGGGTATCAATTCAATATCATAGCCGCCTGTTTCCCCTCCCCCGCAAATGAAACATCTTCCTGCCTATAGCGTTAATGATTTTTTTCCCCAGGAGTTGAAATAGTACAATTCGGTTGCAGAAGGTATATGAGTCTAGGGTGGTGGAGGTTGAAGTATTTGGTGAAATCTGCGATGACATCTAGGAATCTGAATCTGCGCTGGCTGGTGGTGACTGGTGAAAGCATCCAGGTTAGCAGCAACTGGGGTGTGTTTCATTTATAGGCAAACACAGTAAATCTTGAGAAAGGAATATTCTGCTACAGATCTGCAAATGATCAGGGTGAGATTGGGAAGGGGTGAAAGGAAGGAGCAAAAAGACAGTACTTGTAGACTGAAACGATGTCATCTTGGAAGGGACTTTCCCTAATGGAAGTGAAAAAGACTGGGGGAGAGGGAAGGTTTGTTAGTTGAAAGTTTGGAACCTGGAAATTCTTTTATGTGATTAATTAATGTGTAAGTGTGTAGCCACTTTGCTCATGTATTTGGCCATAAGGAAGAATGAGCCTGTTTCAACAATGGCTCGTGTTTGTTCCATGTAAATGGCAAAGAACCAGGTACTTAGCACAGAAGACAAATGAGGAAAATTGTAGCTTCCTCACATATCTGAAAGAGATTTTGAAATGACCCTAGAGAGTGGACCTGGGACCGATAGCTAAAAGTAGAGGAAATGTTTTGTTTAGTATAAAGAAGCCCATAGTTTTGGTGTTTCTGAACACTGTTCTTTAAAGATGTGATGACCAATTTAGGACGACAGTGAATTTTGTCACTCAAAGTGCTTAAGTATGGGGGTGGGTGGTTGAGAATTTAATGATCAGCTAGATAGGAAGGTTTTACCGAACATTAGTTCTCAGTGTCTGCTCCGTGGATGCCCAGGGATTCCTGCCATTCTTTTTGAGGGGATCTGCAAGGTCAAAACTATTTTCCTGATACCGCTAAGATGGTATTTGCCTCCTTGTGTAAACAGCTGTGCTGATTAAGCAAAAGCAGCGGTAGGTAAAAACGCTGGTGCCTCAGCAAGAACCAAGGCAGTGACACCAAACTAAGTTGTTGCTGTAATTCTTCACCACTATGCTCTCACAGGGGGAAAAAGTCATTTCCTTTGATAGAGCAATAAAAATGATCTATTCTATTAAAACTCAGCTATTTAATATGTGTCTGAATCTTCTGTGTGATGAGGTGGGAAGTAAACATAAAGTCTACTGCATGGCAAAGTATGTCGTTATTTTGATGAAAAATACTTGTGTGATTATTTAAATTGTGAATTGAACTTGTTTTTTTTTTTTCATTGAACACCATTTCTACCTGAAAACCAGACTGCAAACCGTGGTTATTCATACCTTGATATTTGCTAGACATTTTCTTGAACAAAGTAAGCCAGTTACGTCAAGGAAAACCACTCAGAGTATTTGTTACCAAGGATAAAGTCTAAGCTCTAAAGCAAAAATTAGAATGTTGGAAGTCTTTTATCCACCAGCATAAGCTTGAAAGTTTCACCTATACTTAAATACTTTTTTCTGATAGGATTACAGATGGTATTTTTAAAGAATTGACTTTATTTTTAGTAATCCAAAATGACATATCCCAGAATCTGGGAGCTCTGTGTAAATCAGTGAATCAATAATTTTTAAATGACCATTCTCATTGCAAGATAGAAAATAAATTTTTATGTAACATAGTACAAAAAGTAAATTGATATGGTTTTCACTAACTTGGTGTAGTACTAAAGATTATCTACACTTATCTGAAAAAGCTATTAAAATATTCCTCACTTTCCCAACTACCTATCTGTATGAAGCTAGATTCTTTTCCTATACTTCATCCAAAGCAGCAAATCACATTAGATTGAATGCAAAAGCAGATACAGATTCCAGCTATAAGCCAGACAATAAACAGAACTTCAAAAATGTTAAACATTGCGACTCCTCTAATTTAAAGAAAAAAATCAAATTATTTTTACATTAATGGACTTTTATGATAATTTTGATTGAATGAATACATATTTGAAACACTTCTTGGTTTAATACCTAATATGGTAAATATCAGTAGCTATACAGATACTCCTCAACTTATGATGGGGTTATGTCCCAGTAAACCCATTATAAGTTGAAAATATCTTTAATAAACAGTGCATTTAATACACCTAGCTTATCTATCAAATATCACAGCTTTCCCTAGCCACCCTTAGCCTACAGTTGGACAAAATCATGTCACAAAAAGCCGATTTTATATAAAGCTAATATAAAAATTTTGAGTCAAAATTCAAAATATGATTTTTACTGAAAGTCTATTGCTTTTCCCACCCCAACTTACTATGGTTTAAAAAAAAATCATAAATCAAACCATAGTAAGTTGAGGACCCTCTGTAATCCTCAAAAACTAAAGCTCCTTGGCATCTTCTATAATTTTTAGGAGAGTAAAGAATCTTCGGTCTAAAATGCTTGAGAATTGCTATAGTTGATGGCCTGTGCTTCTTTCCATCCCTGAGATTTTTATGATTCTATGATATTATACTAATTCAGTGCTTGCTGAAAGTGTCCACGCAAAGGAATTTCTCTCTTCCTTGCCAGGCGTGCCAACACTCAGGCTTTGCTACGACAGAGAGAGGATTTAGAGACGAGAAACAGACAGGTGTTGTCCCTGTCCTCACAGAACTTCCAGTCTCTGTGTGGAAGATATAAACCCAAAATTCACAAAAATAAATAAAATTACAGTGGCGGTATGCTAGAGAGGAAAAGTAGTTGGAAGAGGGTCTTTCCTCAAGAAACAGTTCCCCCATGAAGTGACTGAGCATGTATACGTAATGAGCCTTTCAGACCGAGGAATCCACACGTGGAAGGGCACTGTGGGGGATGGAAAGCACTGTTGTTCCGTGTCACCATGAGAGAGGGCTTGTGGCTGGCACACACGTTCCTGGAAAAGAGTGAAGCTGAACTGTGGTCCCCTTGGTGTTCCATGGCAAGCATGTTGCCATTTATCCTTTGCAAGATATTTAGGAGGTTAATTTTTTTGTCTATGTCATAACTTCTCTAAACCTGTTCTTTATCTTCATTGTTCCTCAAGTTCATTTCATAATAACTTGATTTCCCTTCCTGATCTTCCGCCATCCCCAAGAACCCCCCTCCTCTTTATTTTCCGTGGCTGGTTCATCATTGTTGAATTTTAGTTCCTTTTCTTCTCTCCCCTTGTTTGCATTCCTCACACATTGACTCTTCAGACCTTTTTCTTTTCTTTTTTCTTTTTCTTTCCTTCCTTCCTTTTCCTTTCCTTTCTCTTTCTCTTTCTCTCTTTCTCTCTCTTTTCTTTTCTTTCTTTCTCTCTCTCTCTCACACTCTCACTCTCTCTCACTCTCTCACCCAGGCTGGAGTGCAGTGGCCCAATCTCGGCTCACTGCAACCTGCACCTCCCAGGTCCAAGCATTTCTTGTGCCTCAGACTCCCGAGTAGCTGGGAATACAGGCATCTGCCACCACGCCCGGCTAATTTTTTGTATTTTTAGTAGAGACAGGGTTTCGCCATGTTGGCCAGGCTGATATCGAACTCCAGAACTCAGGCAATCTGCTCACCTCGGGCTCCCAAAGTGCTGAGATTACAGGCGTGAGCCATGCCCCTGGCCCAGACCTTTGACCTTTTTCACTCTGTGTCATCCTCTTCAACCTGACCTTCCTTATTTATGGGCAGTAACCTCACTTCCAAATTTAGTAACAAAGTTGAGATCATCCACGTGAAAGATCTTTCTAATATTCTTTTCTGTATCAAAATCCTCTGTGTCCTTGTTCTTCCCTTCCGTTGTTGTTCCCATTTGTGAGGATAAAAATGTCTACTTTCCTACATTTTCTGTCTCTGACCTCTTCTCTCACATCTCTGCTGGCTTCTCCTCATCCTCCTTCCTGTTCTTCCTCCTCTTGCCTGTTTCTTGATAGGTGAGCCTCCCCCAGGATCTGTCCTTGGCTGACTTCTGTCTTTCCTCTGAAGCTTCCTCCTCAGGGTTCTCTTCATGTCTGACTTAAGGACAGCTGATTCCCAATGGTATCTTTTGCCCTCGCAGCTCTCCGAATGTTCCAAGTTCTCTCAAGCCTCACTGTCATGCTACCATTACTTAGTACCACAAAAGGAACACCTGTCACACTGTTTCATGGCAGTTTATTCTTTTGTCTGCCTCCTGTTTGGGCTGCCTGAAGGCAAGAGTTGGGATTTGCTAGCCCTTGTTTTCCCCCTTACCATAATAGTGAGTTGTGGTCCGCGAGTGATACTTATTTGATGAATTGAAAGCACCAATTTCAAGCCTGCTTTACATTCCTAACACTTTAGAGATCTCCCCATCTGGACATTCCAACTGGGTAATTTTTCATTTGCTATTGATTTATACACTATTCTGGTGAAGTTACCTTTTCCAGAGCACTGTCGGATTGAATAGGAGAGGGCATTATTTGAAAATTGGCACTTGATGAAAACGATTTTTAAAAAATACAAACTGTGCTACAAGAAATGGTTTAAGGCCAGGCGCAGAGGCTCATGCCTGTAATCCCAGCACTTCGGGAGCTCCAGGAAGGCGGATCACTTGAGGCTATCGAGACCAGCCTGGCTAACATGGCGAAGCCCTGTCTCTACTAAAACTACAAAAATTACCTGGGCATGCATGGTGGCTGGCACACACCTGTAATCCCAGCTACCTAAGTGGCTGAGGCATGAGAATTGCTTAAACCTGGGAGGCAGAGGTTGTAGTGAGCCGAGATCATATCACTGCACTACAGCCCGGGCAACAGAGTGACAGAGTGAGACCCTGTCGAAAGAAGGAAAGAGAGAGAGAGAGAGAGGGAGGGAGGGAGGGAGGGAAGAAAGAAAGAGAAAAAGAAAACAAAAACAGGTTTAGCTCTTGGACTAGTCCACAAATGACTATTTTAAACCTTGCATCAAAAAAAAAAATTGAAAACAAAACTGTAGCTGTACTACGTTATAGTTGTGGGGGTATTTACTTAAATAATGAATATTCACTGCATGTCTGTAATTTGTTGGGGTGTTTACAAACTATGAGGGGAATTCTAAGATGCGTCAAAAGCTTTAGGGATTGGCTTATGTGTTTCTTTAAGATGATTAATGTTTCAAAATGCATGGATTCAGGTGTACCACTACCATCTTTGTGCATGTCAATCATCGCTGTGGTTGTAGAATGAAAAGGGATATGTTTTTGAAGTAATCGGTTGAAGGGGGAAAATGAAGGGGATTCATACTGTATATCTAGGCTGAGGCAGGCAAACAGCTTGAGCCCAGGAGTTTGAGACCAGCCTGGGCAACATGGCAAAACCCCGTCTCTACAAAAAAAACAAAACTTAGCTGGAGGGTAGTCCCAACTTCTTGAGAGGCTGAGGTGGGAGGACCTATTGAGCCCAAGAGGTCAAGGCTGCAGTAAGCTGAGATCGCGCCACTGCACTTCAGCCTGGGTGACACGGTGAGACCCTGTCTCCAAAAAAAAAAAAAAAAAGAGAAGGATAAGGAAGGCTTCATTTGGCCATATTCCTCCAAAAGTAACATAGGTTAAAAAAAGAGTGTATACTTATTAGAGTGTATACTTTCTCATATAAATGCACATGTGTATATATGCATACAAACACACACATACAGATTTGATCTTCATTATTTGCAGATTCTATATTTGCTAACTTGCCTAGTGTCAGTTAACTCCAAAACTGACACACATGGGGCTTTTATAGTTATTTGCAGACATGTACTGAGTGGTGAAAAATTTGAGTCTCCCAACACACATACATGTTCTTACTGAAATCGAACAAGGCAATGTTCTGCCTTTTTGTTTCAGCTCTCGTGCAGTAAGGCATCCCTTTTGCAGTCCATTTAGTACCATGTTTTTTGCACTGTTGTGCTTTTGTTAGTGATTTTGGAGTCTAAGAGGGCCCCAAGCACAGTGTTAAAGTGCTGGCTAGTGTTTCTGAGCACAAGACGGCTGTGATGTACCTGATGGGGAAAAATCTGTGTGCTGGACAAGCTTTGTTGAGGCGTGAGCTATGGTGCTGCTGGCCTTGAGTATTAATGAATCAACAGAATATATTAAATGTCTTTAAACATCAAACAATGTTACATATTGGTGAGTCAATGAAAATGTTGTGACCCCAGAGGCTCACAGGAGCCCTATATTTTTTCTAGAAGTAATAGTTCAGTATATGCTGATTCAGTGCCCAGTCCATAAATAGCAAGAATTGACCGTGTGTGTGTACACATGTATGTATATATTTGTGCACATGTGTATATGAGAGTGAGAGGGCCAGAGATTACCTGAGGTGGAGTTAACTAAGCCCCAGAGAGAAAAAGAGAAACTATGTACCCATAGTTGTGGATAACAAGAAAGGAGTTTATGGGGCATAGATAAAGTGACAGTTCCCTTGACTTGCCAAAAAGTTTACTGTCAGCCCAGGGCAGCTTTATTTCTTTCTGAAGTGAGCAGAAATGGTCTAATAGAGTACAAGGTATAAAGGACTGTGCAATTAGTAATTCATATGTGCTGAATAGTTTGGGGAGTGCCTCTAGAGTACTAGTAGAAAGTCACTTTGTTCTGAAGACATTGATGAATTTCATCCTTCTCTTGTATCTTTAATTATTACTCTGATTTACTTTAGCCATCTTTTTGCGCTTACAGCTGCCTTTTGATTTGTTTTTGTGTTGTTTAAGACCCAGGGAAATTTACTGTGTCCATGGAGTAGGATTCTGGTCATTCAACCCCACGTTGAGTCTATTCAACAGCTAGATTGAGTGTATATTAAGGTGTCTAAACAAAATCAAACTAAGAAACCTAATTATGTCACCAAACTGTAGCAAGCTGGATTTTTTTTTTTTATATGAGGTTTTGGGTATAGAAAGGGGTTAGGCTCGGAGATAGTTGACTAACCAACTGCTCTGGTAGAAACTCTTTCCTTTAAGACAATAAAGAGGTTATAGGGATTGGAGACCTTTATGTGTTATACTTTGGTGGGGACTTGTGTGTCTTAAAACAACCCTTGCCTTGTCTGTATTCTTAGCTTTAATGTTCTTTTAGAATATTACCTGAGTCTCTCATTTGCCAGAAAGATGGGTATTGTCATTTTTAAAAGTCTGTCTTGTAATATGGCTTTACATGGTCTTATGATATTATTTATGAGGCTGACTCTCATAGGTAACTGACGAATGAAGTAGTATTTGCTCAAGTAGTAAAATTCTTGAGCAAAGCCACAATTAACTGGAGATAAAAGTAAGATTACTGTGCAATTGAAATTCTAGAAGAAGAGTTTTAATTTTTTGAGTAGCTTGGGATATTTGCAGTGAAATGTACCTCCGTTACTTCTTTGTATTCTTTTGACGCATCACATTCCAAATGCAAAATTTATGAAACTGTCAGAGGATCAGCTTCTCTGGCAGATCTCTCATCAATTCTTCTCTCGTTAAAAGAAACTTCTTTTGAGACACGTCTTTGTTAGTTAATCCTATCAACTGAAAACCTGCATCTCAAAACAATCAGTAAATACAAAGCAGAACCTAGCTTTGTTTAGGTAGTATCTATCAATTCTCTTGAAATTTATCAGGCTGTAGCTTCTATAGCAGTTCTCGGCTGAGCTGCTCGTCTATTTAAACAAAAATAATATTGAAAGAATATTAACTTCTGAAGACGACTCAGAAATCATAATATAGTGGTCTATTCTTAATGCATGAAGAAAATGTGATATTTTGGCTCTTTTAATACACCTTTGTGAGTTGTAAAATAATAAAGACAGGACTACAAATAAAAATAATCCAAATACTCTATAAAATAAAGACAGATTTGTGCTTCTTGAAGTCTATAAAATCTCCTACCCTATATTAATATTAAAATGTACAGGATCTTCTCTCATAAGGAAACACATTTAGAATGACAAATTTTTAGTTTGCGATTATAAAGGGTAACAGAAGACACTTAAGAAGAAAATAAGCATGGAGTCATTTTTGTATCAAAAAGAAAATCCAGGCCAGGCGCAGTGGCTCATGCCTGTAATCCCAGCAGTTTGGGAGGCCGAGATGGGTGGATCACCTGAGGTCAGGAGTTCAAGATTAGCCTGGCCAACATGGTGAAACCCTGTCTCTACTAAAAATACAAAAAATGAGCCAGGCGTGGTGGCAGGTGCCTGTAATCCCAGCTACTTAGGAGGCTGAGGCAGGAGAATGGCTTGAACCCGGGAGGCGCAGGTTGTAGTGAGCAGATGTGGCGCCATTGTACTCCCACCTGGGTGACGGAGCAAGACCCCATCTCAAAAAAAAAAAAAAAAAAAAAAAAAGAAAAAGAAAATCCAGCAAAAGGATCAAAACCTTTTATTTTTGTTCCATGACTTAAATCATTTAATTATATTTTCCCCCAAGTACAAAAATCAATAAACAATGATTTCCATAGTTAAATAAATACTTTTTTTCTTTAAAAATGTTATGAAACCTTTAGTATCAAATTACTTCCAAATTCAACTTGACTTCTGAATAAGAAATACTACTTTATAAAATGAAATGCCTGTGTTCTAGAAAGTATTATAGACAGGCAAAATAACAAAGGAAAACTATTGTTTTAAAGCATGCTTGAATGAATAAACATTTCTCAGATCACTAATGGTCAATAACATTATTTGGAAGATTTGGGGATAATCTGGTTTGCATTAAACATATTTACACTTTATTTTATTTATTTATTTATTTATTTATTTATTTATTTATTTATTTATTTGAGACAAGAGTCTTGCTCTGTCACCCAGGCTGGAGTTCAGTGGTGCAATCTAGGCTCACTGCAACCTCCTCCTCCCAGGTTCAGGTGATTCTCCTGCCTCAGCCTCTCAAGTAGCTGGGATTACAGGCACCTGCCACCATGCCCCGCTAATTTTTGTATTTTTAGTAGAGATGGGGTTTCACCATGTTGGCCAAGCCAGTCCTCAAACTCCTGACCTCAGGTGATCCGCCCGCCTTGGCCTCCCAAAGTGCTGGGATTACAGGCATGAGCCACCACACCCGGCCATATTTACACTTTAAAATGCCTCATGAATTAAGTCAAGCTTTACTATATACAGATGCTAAGAAACATGAAAATATATAGCGTTTCGCTGTATTCAGATCAGCAAATTTATCAAGATAATTAGATTATTATCTAAGGGATTCAGTTGGCCAGACTTTGAAAAACTATTTGGTTTTTGTTTTTCTAGAGAGCACAGTCAGACGAACTCGAAAAAATAGAAAAGCATGGCCGATCTTCCAAAGACAAGGAAAATGCCAAGTCTCTGGACAAACCTGAACAGTAAGCATGTCTTATAACCACGTAGAGGGCGTCCAGGCTATGGGTGGGCCCGTTTTGTTTGGAAAATGCAAATGCGGTGTCTTCAGTGCATACTTGTTGTGAATGAGATGAGGATAAACATCTGTTTATGTGAATTATATTTTTCTTCTTAACTTGGCTTTATTTCCTTAGGTTCCTTTATGAACTGTCACTAATCCCCAACTTTTCAGAGCGAGTCTTTTGCATCCTGTTCCAGTCCACATTTTCAGAAAGCATTTGCTCAATTCGTCGCAAACTGGAATTACTACAGAAATTGTGTGAGGTGAGTTCTGGTCCAAAGAGAGCTGAACTTGAGTCTCATTTAATTGTGCTCAGCCATGTTCTTATTTCAGAAAAGCATTCTTTTATTTACTCTAAGTACTCACCAAATTTGAAGGATCGCAGTCCCACAGAAGGGAACATTTTATGATTGACCTTCAAGATCAAAGTAAATGTTCCGGCGGGCGCCCAGGGCTACAGGACCACATTGCTAGAATGTGGCCAATACATGTTGGCCTCCAGAGATTTCTCTGCCCTCTCCTTTTGCCAAAACAAAATCTTCAGTTTTCACGGTCCTCTCAGACATCAGACTTCCAAAGGAATGTAATTTGAAGGCTTTTTTTTTTACTTTCTTTCGTTATCTGGAAGGACCTCTCCACAAACTGTTAATAATTATTCCAGCCAAATAATTTAGGAACAGCCATATGACTCAACAGAAGACAAATATTCTTCCGAAAACAAAAAATAAATGCTTGGCAGAAACGACCAATGTTAACATTTAAAACAATTTGTCAAATATCAGTAATACCATTTGTTCTAGTTGCGGTAAATCATTTTGAAAAGTGAAAAGATGTTTTTAAAGGCTCACATTTTCAGAAGAAGTGACATGCAAAGTCAAGTTAAACACAGTGTTTTGAAAGAAATGAGTGTGAGCTCTTTGGGGGTAAACCTAAATTTAGAAATTAATCTCTGAATCTGCTTTTTGGTTTCCTCTGCTGATGCCAAACATTGGTATTGTTCCAGACGTAGGCACCATTAAGACAATGGCAGTGATATTAGTGATGTTATTTTGTAATAGTTCTCATTTGGCCTTATCTAATAGTTATCATATAGCCTTTGTTCCCATATAGCCTTAATAGTTCTCACACAGGCTTGTTTTCCTTGCAGTTACATCACAGAAATGGCCTAACATAGCATCCCCCAGCTTACAAAGGCATACCTGAATGTTTGTGGGTGGTGCAACTTTTACTAACTTTCAGGATACTGCTCTTAAAATATACCTAATAATTAGGAATGATAAAGTTCGGTTGTGACCCAAAACTCCTAATATAATATAAATAGCTGGCATCAACTCGATGATTCAAACAAAACCTGGTATAAGATAAAAGTTGTTTTTTGTTGTTATTCTGTTTTACAGACATTAAAAAATGGCCCAGGGGTTATGCAGGTTCTAGGTTTGGTTCTTGCCTTTGGCAACTACATGAATGGAGGAAATAAGACTCGAGGACAGGCAGATGGCTTTGGATTAGACATTCTTCCAAAACTGAAAGATGTCAAGAGCAGTGTAAGTATTTTGCATGAGTGGACGTAAGCACATTGAGGAGTCAAGGTTTTGTTTAGTAATGGGTTTGAATGTAAAGCAGTTGTAAAAAATATTTATGTTCCTAGGTCAAATGCTTCTTTATGTTCTGAGCTAGAAAAAAGTAATGTCCATCAGATATTTGTGATTTTGTGATTAATGTTTCCTAAAGTGAATAATTTTCATTCTTATGTCTAATGTATAATTACAACTTTTTAATATAAAAACAATACAAAATAACTTTTTATATTGTTTTAATATAAAACAATAATTTCTTTTACCATATCTTTCCCATGTCTGCTAATATTTATCCTTTTGGAATCTGAAGGCTAATTATTTTCTATGAATTAGACAGTATATCTTTTTTTCTTTGTCATGTTAAGCAATGAAGGCCAATAGGTCCATATTTTGAAAATAACACAATGATGAGTAAAATGGCTTGTAAACAAAATATAAAAGGTGATTCTACTCTGCTGCATATGATTTTCTCCTTGATACTGGTGTGTAGGGGGATGTCTAAGCTCTCTTGCAGACCTAATCATTTTTTGGTACTACTTCTGCAGTTGTGTTTGTTTGAAATTAATGTCTAAGCAATTGTGAGAGTGCCAGTAGAAATATGAGGTTAGGAATGATGGTTAGAGTCACAGACTCAAGTCTGAGACGGTAAACTTAAAAAATAAAAGAGTTACATTTCTCTGATAAAAAAATCATCACACAAAAAAGTAGGATAAAGGAAATTCTGGACATGTTTTTGAAATATTAAGTTTAATAATTGGCTTGTAGAAATAAAAATATGTAGGACTGTCCTTCCTAGATAATGAAATAATTTCCTTCATGGGGGAGAGAGAGACTTTTAAAAATCTTTTCTGCCAGCCAACAATTTGTTTATTGTTTTATATACAGATGCTTCTCAACATAAAATGGAGTTATGGCCTGATAAACCCATCCTAAGTTGAAAATACCATAAGTGAAAAGTCATTCAATACATCTAACCTAGTAAACATCAAAGCTTAGCCTAGCCTGCCTCAAACATGCTCAGAACACTTACCTCAGCCTACAGTTGGGCAAATCATCTAACACAAAGCCTATTTTATAATAAAGTGCTGAATATCTCATGTAATTTATTGAATACTGTGCTGCAAGTGAAAAACAGAATGGTTGTATGGGTACTCGCAGTACAGTTTCTACTGAATGCGTATCACTTTTGTACCATTGTAAAGTCAAAAAATTGTAAGATGAAGCATCGGGAGTCGGAGACTGTGTCTCTGTGTACGTGTGTGTGTGTTGTCAAATTAATACAGATATTCATGCAATATTCTTTCATTGAGCATCTATGGAATGTGGACACTGCTCTTCCAAAATCGAATAATTCATAGTCCTTCCTTGGTACACCAGCAGCATATGATTTTTTTATTTTTATAATTGTTCAAATGCTCATGTGTATGATACACATTTTCATAGAAGTATCTACTATAGAGAGCTGATAAATTACATTTGTTAAAAAAAAAATGCTGAAGCCGAGTGCAATAGCATGAGCCCGTAATCCCAGCTACTTGGGAGGACTTTTCAAGGCCAACCTGGGCAATACAGTGAGAGCCCTTCTCAAAAAAAAAAAGAAAGAAAAGCCCTTTTCTTAACCTATGGTAATTCTTCAATACTCAGCAACTGCTTGTTGGAGTGAAACAACTTTTGCAAATAACATTGAAATCTATAGCATCAATATCATATTTAAATTATAGAAATGAACTGGAAATAGATTCTAGTGATCATATATAAATAAGAGATTATTTGTGGGACTTTTTTGGTATCAGTTTATATATCTTATTCAATCCTCTGTTAGGTTAAATTTCATTAATTTAAATAATCAAGAGGTAATCTAAAATAAAAATTTAAATATGTAATCAAGAAATACGTTTTTAAAATAGTTTCACTTGTACTCAGAAGAGCTATACAAAGTCTTCCTGAATTGGTTCTTTCTCTGTAAAACAAATGTAACTATATTTATTCCTTAGTACTATTTATAGACCTCCATGGACAGAGCTGTTACTTTGATCACTTAGAATTTTCTCTCAGCATGCCTAGTTTTGTTAATTGATTCAGGTGCTGCCAACCGTTTCATTGAATTACAAGTTGGGAGAGAGAAAGGAAGTCAAGTTGCTTAAATCATTTTACAAGCAAATCCTGTCTAATGAGGGATATCTCTAATAGCTACATTACTGACTCATGTCAAACTTGATTATAAAGAGGTTTTGCTCTTTTTACAAATATAGAAAAAATCGTGGTTATATTAAACATTCCAGAGAATGTAGTTTGTATCATAGGGTTTGTTTTTAAAGTAAAATATATACTTGAGCTCTCAAATTCAGATTATCTACTACTACTTTGGAACAATACAAAAAAAGAGTAAAATAAAAATTAATGCGCCTAAATAAACCAGAAAGGAGGTGAAAAGGTATTTTTGAAGTGTGTTAGATATGAAACAATTTTACCTTTTTTTAAATAGAAATATCCACATTGTCTTATTTATAACCACATGAGTGTTAACTCCTCAAATCTCAATTGCTGATATAACAAATTATAATATTGGAATTGTTAAAAGCTCCCCTTTACTTAGTATTGGAATGGTTAAAAGCTCCGCTTTACTTAAAATGATACTTAGCTTTTTTATTTCCCTAATCTATATGCTAATGAGCCTCAATCAAACTTACTGTTGGAGTGGTATCTGTTAGTCCAGCTATATATCAATGCTAAATTATTTCTTTTAATATAGTAGTTTTAAAACATAAAAAATTATCAAACAAAAACAATAAAAACACAAAATAATAAAATATACAAGACATGAGCTAAATTTCTAATTGAGGGGGGTAACAGTTGGAAAGTATTTACAGTTCAGACTTTGCCCCTAAATAGCTGTGCTAAGATTGGAACACTGGGGAGAAAAATCTTTTAAGCCACCAAACTCCTTAGACACAATGGCCAAGACAATCCAAAATGTAAAATTTCACATTTCATTCCAAATGTTCTCATGTATATACATGAATTCACTAGAATCTTTTTTGGTAACACTTTATATTTAATTAGTTAAAAAATATATTGTCACTGACTTTGGTCTTTCTGCCTAGGACAATAGCAGAAGCCTTTTGTCATATATTGTTTCGTATTATCTCCGAAATTTTGATGAGGTAAGACAATTTTTACATATAGTCATATTCCATTATTCTTTATTCGTTGGATGATTTGGCAGTACTTTTTGTTGTTGTTTTTGTTTTGGACATACCTGCTATTATTCTTTTTTATATTGATAACCAATTTCTTTAAATATGATGGGGTTTTTTGTTCATTAGGATGCTGGAAAAGAACAGTGCCTCTTTCCACTGCCAGAACCCCAGGACCTTTTTCAGGCCTCACAGATGAAGTTTGAAGATTTTCAAAAAGATCTCAGAAAACTGAAGAAAGACTTGAAAGGTAACTTAAAATCCTGAACTCATGTTTTCTGTTTATGCTTTTTTAATGAGAGAAGGCAGACTTTTCAATGTTTTTAGAGAAAAGTAATCTTTTTTATCTTTATAGAACTAAATTTGTGTGTGTGTGGCGAAAGAACAATTTTGCCTATATTCTTATTCTTTGGTTGTTTAAAAAGTTATGTGTATCAAAAATTTGGTTATTAAGTAATATCTTGGTTATTTCAATTAACAATCTGTCTTGTCAGGAATAAGTTTACATTTTGTTTTCATTTTATAACCAAGAACATTTTGGTATTGGTCATGTCATGGTTGGATACAAATTATGTCATTGTTGTAATAGAAGATAAATAGTCCTTCCCCATTTTCCCTTGGTGTACTTGCCCAGGATTTTCTGGCTTATGAACTTTCCTGGGAACAAAATATCTTCTACTTAAAAACCACATACATGTATATTGTTTTATTACCAGTCAAGCTTTACATAAAATTATTTTGAAGAATAATAGGCCGAAATTTTTCAAATTTCTAAATTAAAAGTAGCATTTACAAAAAAGCAAATAGTTTGCAGATTTTTTTATTTTGTAAGTAAAATTCCTGCTATCCCCTTTTCTTGATATTCTTATTGAGTTGCGAACACCTCAGCTGTCTATTTCAGCTTCTTTCTTGCTGTATTACATACAGATGAGAAGTAAATACATTTACCCGAGCTTTTGATTTGATATTGTGTTACTATATGAGAAGAAAAGGCCTGGTTACCCCTGTCCAGAAACCAAAAAGATAGAACTTTTTAAGAGACTCCCAATTTTGAGATGTGTTTATCCAAAGATACTGATCTGTAATCAAATTCATAGAGTTGTTATATTCTAGTTACAGGTGTTTTAAAATGGATTTCAGTGAGCATAGGGACATTATGTAGTGTGGTTATAGTTCTTATGTATTCAACAACATTTATTACGGACCTGGTTCATGGCAGACAGTTGCTAGGTGCTGTGGATCCACAAAGGTTACAGTAACCGCTGTTGAAGAGGGCTGAAATTCTGTCATTACATGTACCCTGTTGGAGCCTTACAAGTTGGTGCTCATTGACTGAGGCCAAGAAAGACTGCCTTGACTTGCTCTGTTTTTCATACAATAATAATAAATAAAACTATGTTACATTTGTATAATATTGTGGTACTGTGTATTTTAAGCTAAGAATGAATTCTTAAAGCAACAAAAAAACCCACTCATGCTATAGTATTATACTTCAACCTGATGACAGGCATCTTGGTTTGCTTATGAAATTTACACACACTATGATGTGTAAATGCTAGAGGCATTTCTAGGGGATCTGGAAAATACTTCCCACTTCAATCAATAGTTCAGTCTTGTAAAGTAGGATTTCATAGTTTACAGGTGATTTGATAAAGGAGCGGAATGGGTGACCCTATTATCAGGATATCAGGATTTATGTTTGCTTTCTGGAGTTGCATCACTTCGGAATGTGATCCCATTTTCTTATGATAAATACACAACTTCTTACTATAGGCATTAAACATACATGTAATTATGAAAATGGCAAGTTCTTGCAAGACTTGGAGCTAAAAAGAAAGACCTAGCTAACACCAGATAGTGGGTTTGAAAAGGACAAGCAGCCGGCCAGGCATGGTGGCTCACACCTGTAATCCCAGCACTTTGGGAGGCCGAGACAGGCAGATCACCTGAGGTCAGGAGTTCGAGACCAGCCTGACCAATATGAAGAAACCCCATCTCTACTAAAAATACAAAATTAGCCAGGCATGGTGGCACATATCTGTAATCCCAGCTACTTGGGAGCCTGAGGCAGGAGAATCACTTGAACCTGGGAGGCAGAGGTTGCAGTGAGCCAAGATTGTGCTATTGCACTCCAGCCTGAGCAACAAGAGCGAAACTCCATCTCAAAAATAAATAAATAAATAAGTAAAAATAAAGAAAGAAAAAGACAAGCAGCCAGCGCCTCTGAATACTATTTCCGCATCTGCATTTGCCACCTACAAGTGCTAGGTGCCTACATTTGGTAGCACAGAAGATTAGATATTGAAGGAGCATCTTAGCAATTTTTGAGTACCTCAGAGTTTAAAGAGAGGATTTTAACCCTGAAGGTTTACACTTTATGTCAGGGAAAGATGAACTTATTTTTCAGATATCATCAGACCTGTGCCCTTGGCCAACAATGATCACATTTGTCTGGCACAGTATTTTCCCCAATCTGAACACAGCCTGTTACAATTTGATAGAATTGTTGAAATGGGGAGTTTCATGACCAAATGAATGTTAAGTTAAAGTTAAAAGGACTTCATGGTATTCTCCAAAAAAAAAAAAAAAAAAAAAAAAAAAAAGGTGGTTGCAATTGTTTTCCCATTTATTACAGAGAACTTTTTTCACAGAATCTCTGGTGTGTTCTGTAGTCACTGAAACATATTTTGAGAAATGCAAGGCTGGTGTACTGTGTTAGTAACAGAAGAATGGCATTTACCTTTGAGGAACTTACAGGGAAGGTTGGAGAAATGATGCTATAGTTGATGAAATAATGTAATTATATATTACTCTTCTTAAAAAATGGAATCAGCTTGAAGAGCTATTTACAAAGCTGTCAAACTCTGAGGATTAAAAACTGACAAATCATAATTTACCTCATTTTTTTTTTGCTTTTCTCAATTTGGGGTTTTCCATGAAAAACAAGATGTTTTATGACTTGAGGAAGGAAATCTTATGGACTGAAATATAAATTCAGTTACTGGGAAAAAAAGATATACCCAAATGTAGAATTTCGTATCAACAACGCATGAAATCTGCCTCATGTCCTTTTTAGGAACGAGAGGGATATAAATAGATATGTACGTCTATCTGACTAAATGGGAGTCAAACGGAAAATTATTGGATTATGTTATTTTAGGAACAATTACTTTGAAATAATGTCTACTTTGATCAAAGTAGCCTATTAAAAATTATTCCTTTTCTTTTTTTTTTTTTTTTTTTTTTTTTAAGACAGTCTTGCTCTGTCACCCAGGCTGGAGTGCAGTGGCACAATCTCGGCTCACTGCAGCCTCTGCCTCCCCATCTCCTGGGTTCAAGCAATTCTCTTGCCTCAGCCTCCTGAGTAGCTGGGATTACAGGCACATGCCACCACTTCCAGCTAATTTTTTGTATTTCTAGTAGAGACAGGGTTTTGCCATGTTGGCCAGGCTGGTCTCGAACTCCTGACAAAAATGATTCCTTCTAAGTGATCAAGTGAGGGAATTCATTTAAGAAGATTCATATGGCCACATTTTGTTTCCCAGAGGCAAGTTGTTATAACAAGGTTTAGAAAATAGGATAACGTATAGAAAGCATTTATCTCAATACCTTTCATACAATAAATATCCAATAAATCTTGGCCATTCATAATAAGGTAAACATAGAATAAGCAGTGGGATTAGTTTGATAAAGACAGTTAAGCAATAATCATAGTAGCTCATCTGCTGGCTCTAGCACTTCTGTTTCTGCTTAGAGACTTGATTTTTATTTCTAAGGAAAGGCTGAAAAATAATGTGTTATGGCTCAGACATTTTAATGAGACGACTGAATCTCATTTTAGCATTTTATAATAACATCCACTGTGTTTAGTTTCTCTGCTCACTCCCAAGATTTCCATATTTCCTCAGGGTGCTTCCCTGGCTTTCTGAGCTCAGCGACTTGTAGTTCGTTAAGCAACCTGATCTGCTTTTGATCTCTTCTGGCTGTCAGCAGCTTTTCTTGATGTAGTCATGCCAAATGATGACTCTGTTCCAGTGCCTTTCTTGAATAGGAATTGTAGCATTTGCCACATGACTTAAATCAACTCAACATGCACGGAGCATTGAGTAATTAAGTTACCGGAACTGGATGAGAATGTTCTCATGCAAATTCTTCTCTGTATCCTCTTTCTTTCTGTTCTTCCTCCCTGTACTCACACACTCTCTCTCTTTTCAATATCTGAGTTGAAAACAAGTTTAAAATTCATCAACTATACCTTCAAGTTGAAGCAATGTCCATTTTCCAGAGATTTATAGGAAAAACCAGCCCTCAAACTAGTTTAGGGTTTATTTTGGCTTACAACTACTAGTTTGTAACTATTACATTTAAATTGTTCATTTCTGATATTTCCTTTTTTCCCCTTATGTTTGAGGACAGGAAACAAATAAGCTTTTTTAAAAATAACATTTTACAGTGGTCCTTCCCACCTATCCAAGGTTTTACTTTCCTTGGTTTCAGTTACCCACAGTCAACCTTGATCCAAAAATATTAAGTGGAAAATTTCAAAAATAAACAATTCATATGTTTTATGCTGGGCACTGTTCTGAGTGGTATGATGAAACCTCCTGCCGTCTACCTTCATCCCTTCCGGCACGTGGATCCTCACTTAGTTCAGCGTATTCATGCTGTATATACTGCCCACCTGTTCATCACTTAGGACAGTGGTCCCCAGCTTTTTGGCAATAGGGACCAGTTTCATGGAAGACAGTTTTTCCGTGGACAAGCCAGTGGGGGATGGTTTCAGGATGATTCGAGGGCATTACATTTATTGTGCGCTTTACTTCTATTATAATTACATTGTAATATATAATGAAGTAATTAAACAACTCATCATAATGAAGAATCAGTGGAAGCCCTAAACTTGTTTTTCTGCAACTAGAGAGTCCCATCTGGGGGTGATGGGAGACAGTGACAGATCATCAGACATTAGATTCTCCTAAGGAGCATTCAACCGAGATCCTGCACATGCGCAGTTCACGGTAGGGTCCTGGCTCCTATGAGAGTCTAATGCTGCAGCTGATCTGACAGGAGGCGGAGCTCAGGCGGTAATGCTTGCGATGAGGAGCGGCTATAAATACAGATGAAGCTTTGCTTGCTTGCTGGCCACTCACCTCCTGCTGGGTGTCCCGGCTCCTAACAGGCCGCAGACCAGCACCCATCTGTGGCCCAGGGGTTGAGGACCCCTGACTTAGGAGCCATCTTGGTTATCAGATCAACAGATCACAAAAAGGGTGAGTATAGTATGATAAGATGTTTTGAGACAGAGAGACCATATTCACAGAACTTTTACAGTATATTGTTATAATTGTTCTATTTTATTATTTTTTTTTAATCTCTTACTGTGCCTAGTTTATAAATTAAGCTATAGCATAGGTATGTGTATATAGGAAAAAGCATAGTATATATAGGTTTCAGTACCATCTGCTGCTCCAAGCATCCACTGGGGATCTAGGAAGGTATTCTCCATGGATAAGGGAACACTACTGTTTTATGATTTTTAAAAAAAATTTAAAAAAAATTTATTGAGGTAAAATATACATACAAAATTTACCATCTTTACCATTTTTAAGTTATATTTTAAAATTAATATCTGTTTAGCATAGGAACTTTAGACAACCTTGAAAAATGTAGAGAAGAAAACATTTGTATTTCCACAGTTCCATGATAAATAATGTTTATCTTTTGTTCTATCTGGTAGGTAGGTGTTTATTGCATGTGCATACATACATGAATTATGCAACTGGGATTATGATGCACATAATTTTTGCAATTTTTGTCCACTCAGTTTCTGGTCTATACTAGGATAATTTAATTTTATTTATTTACATATATATTCTATTAATATTTTCTTTCTGGTTGTCTATTTGATAAATTTTTAAATATCTCTTCCTAACACCTCCAATAACATTTAAGAAGATGTACATAGTATTCCTGTTAATTTACTGGGTAATCCTAAATGCTAACATATTTTGTATACTATACAATTTTATAACATGCTATAAATTTATGTAGTATATTTATTCTTCTAAATAAGATGAATGTTTTAGAACATTCTAACTAACAATTGAACTCCTTCTACTTTCTTTTCAGTTTTTTTCCAGACTTTGGGTACTGTCATTTTTCTTAAAAACATTACTGCTGTTTAATAATTATTAGGTAATAACATTTATGAATATATTTAAATAATTACTGTGCTATCATTGTTGCATCTTATATTCCTCCCCCCTCCACATTTGATGTTCTTTCAGTGTGAGTGAATGGGTGTTAAACTCTTAGTCCGGGCCGGGTGCAGTGGCTCACACCTGTAATCCCAGCACTTTGGGAGGCCGAGGCAGGTGGATTGCTTGAGGTCAGGAGTTCAAGACCAGCCTGACCAACATGGTGAAACCCCATCTCTACTAAAAATATAAAAATGAACCGGGCATGGTGGTGGGCGCCTGTAATCCCAGCTACTCGGGAGGCTGAGGCAGGAGAATTGCTTGAACCTGGAAGGCAGAGTTTGCAGTGAGTGAAGATTGTACCACTGCACTCCAGCCTGGATGACAGAGCGAGACTCCATCTCAAACTGAAAAAAATTGTTCCCCCTTGTTTTGGAATGATAGTTTCACCAGAAATAGAGTTCTAGACTGACTGACTTTTCATCAGTATTTTGAAGATATTTTTGTTTTCTTCTGGTACCTCTTATTTTCAATAATTTTCATTCTTTTGTAGATAAGCTGTCTTATCTCTGATGACTTGTATAATTTTCTCATTGTCCTTATTCATTTTTGGCTTTCCTTGGATAAGTATGGTATGAATATATTCTTTTAAAATTTTTTGTATTGCTCTGTACTTAGAACTTCCTATTAAAATACTGATGGCTTCCTTAATGTGTAGAAAAATTTCTCAGCCACTGTCTGCCCAAGTATTACTTCACTTTTCTCTTTTTTCCTGAAACTCCTTTTAGATGTACATTGGTCTAATCCCTGTTAGCCCCTTAATCTAATCCCCATGTCTCTAACATCTCTTTCATGTGTTTAAAATCACCTTCCACCTTTTGCTATTATCTTCATGCATTCCTCAACATTATCTTCTAATTCATTCATTCTCTCTTGACTCTGTTAATTCTAATGTTTATGTTATCAATGCAGTAAATCATAATAATTCTTGTTTCCAAGATATCTAATGTTTTTATCATATTCATTTTCCCTCTAATTTCTTATTCTTGTTTTGGATATTTATCTTCCTTTTATGTCATTGATATTTGTAAAAATATATTAAAGTCCTTTTCAGCTGTTGTTTCATCTGAAATGAATTCATCTTCCACTCAGTGATTTTATAAGTTGTCCTTCAGAGTCACTAGTTTCCTATGTGGTGTTAGAATGATGATTTTTATAAAGGTGTCAAGTTCACAGTTACAGATTGAACTGCTCGTTCTATTCTTTACCCCCTTCTCACTACTGCACTTGACTAGTCTTTAAAAAAAAAAAAGTCAGGAAATTATGGCCTATGGGCTAAACCTGTCCTCTTTTGTAAATAAAATTCAGTTGGAACACAGCCACGCCCAATCATATACACATTAGCTATGACTGTGTTTGTGTTACAACTGCAGAGTTGAAGAATTGTGATAGAGACCTTCTATCAGTGAATGTGTCCCTCCCTGACTCCCTTCTTCTGACCCCCAAAATCATTCACTGTCTTTTGATTTTTTTTCAATTGCTTTAACTTGGCCTGCCTTTGGTACCCAAGTCACAATCAAAGCTTCTAGCAGCAGCATAGAGCTCCTGCCCTGTGGGCATATTAGGTTTATTGTAGATCCAGTCTCCACACTAGTGAATGACTTGGCTGGGGTCTGGGCTGGGAAGCTGTGGCTACTTACTCTTGCTGCCCCAGGCATAGAGTTGCATGTGGGCTACAGCCCTAGGAAGCAGTGAATTGTAGGTGTTTTCATCCTCTTTGCATGAGTTTGGGAGACCAGTTACCACTCTGGGTTTCCAGTAGAGAGACTGGTTCCTTTCCCTCCTGTCTGTTCTCTCCCATCCCCAGTCCTCACATAAGCCAAGATCTTTATCTATTCCTCCACGATCATAGTTCGATGACTTCTACTTCCGCCCTGTTTATTAACTTTGGCTTCTCTACTATTTCTGGTCCAAGGAGATATTTACATTTTTTAAAAGCATACTATGTCTGCTTAGTTTCCTCTTTATATGTTACCGTTCACTGCTCTGTGTTTTCAACAGAGGGAAAGCTCAGGCTATAAATTGATTATAAGTTCTGTTTGACTGGAATTCTGTATTCACTTTTATATCTTACGTTTTTCCTCACTGAAAATTATAGCAGAAACATTTTTCCATACTATTTCATATACTTCAAAAACTGCTTAGGATGGTTTCATAATTCGTCTCATGAATGTGCTGTAGTTTAGTGAGTAATTTGATTCTTGTAGGAAATTAGACTCCTCCCAGTTTTCACTGCTCTTAAGTATATCATGTTGAGCATTCTTATTTATAGCCCTTTTAAAAGTTGTATCTCTGGTTGTTTCCATAATATAGATTCAGATTTATAATTACTGGATCAAAGGTAATGAACATTTTTTCAAGTTCTCGATATTACCAAATGTTATAAAAATACTTTCTAGAGGAAAACTGATGAATTTTATGGGTGAGTTGTTTCTTAAAGTAAAACAGAATAATAAAATTTATGAAATTTAGATTAGTAAAGAATCTTAGAGACATTGTGGTCTCATACCTTAATCATTTAACAAATGTTTATTAAATTAACAGAAAATAAAAAGTAGATTCTTTCCTCATAGCTCATAGACTAAAAAGAGGACTGTTGATGATATGAATAACCACTATACAGTATACAATTTTTTTTCATTATATGGAAACACAGAAGTAGTAGTTATTAGGTATACTTGGAAAATTATATTTAAATTGGACTTCGAAAGATCTGTAAAATTCTCCCAAGAGGAAAAAAAAAATAGTATTTCAAGCATGGGAAAGAGCATGAGCAAAGTTACCTATCCTGTGACCATTTGGACTTTGATTATTTACTGGTTCCTGATCCCAGAAGTCTCTCAATTCATATCAGGTATATATCTAACAGATATAAAATATTCAAACCTGAGACGGGGCTCATTGCAGTGGAATTCACAACCAGGGTGAAGACTGTGCGCATATGTGGTTTGAAAAAGCCTCCCAGCCAGTAATTCTGATATGTCTTTCAAAGTAGCTTGCTATGACTACTCTGTGTCACTGTTTTACATGCATTAGCTCATTTAATCCCTATGCCATAGATAGGATCATTAATCCTCTCTTTAGTGATTGCATAACTGCAAGTTAGAGATAGTAAATGCTCTACAAAAAGTCACATAGTGCAAGCTGAGGCTGGATCTGGGCCTGAGGAAGCTGATCCAGAGCTCACCCTTTTAACCCCAACACAAACACCGCCTCCTTTTGGGGTTCACTGCGCAGAACCCTTCAGGGAAGGTTGATAAGCCGAACATACAGATATAATTGCACTGAAGTATAGTAACAACCGTGATAAAATAGGAGCAGGGAGCAGAGTGGAAAGTGAGCCTGATTCTATCTAATTGGTTAGAACAGGCTTGAGTTAGGTAGTACCATGAGAACTGAGCCATGAATATAAATACTTTACCAGGTGAACAAATTTATGCAAGAAAATTTGAATAGATGAGCCACCAAGTTCAATGAGATGAAATTAATGCATCTTGGAATTTGCAGCAATCTGACATGATTCAAATACTGGCTGAGTACAGAGAAGTAGAAAGCAATAAAGACATAGACGTACGTAGTGAGCAGATCAATCTCACATAGACAGGCAGGAAGATTCTGAGTGGACAAGGGGTGTGTGTTTGATTGGGTCGGCGGGGAGTATTTGGAAGGAAATGGAGGAGGAGAGAGAGAGGCATTTCAGGTAGAGGAAATGTCCCAATGCCCCAGCATTCTTAGAACACAGTGACCATGAGATGATAGAAAATGTTTTCTGATTATAGAAACTCAACAAACTTCTATACTTTATAAGGAATTTTCATTTTACTCTAAATGCAATATCCAGCCATTGAAATAGTCTATTCAGGGAAATGGAGTGACATGATTTATGTCTTGAAAGTACTGCTCTGGCAAGAGGAGAATTTGTGAGACCAGTTTGGAAACAATTGTGATTTTGACAAAGGAGGGAGACAGAGGAGCTGGGAAGAGCTAAACAAATCTTTCTATTTTTAGGGACAGTCAGTGTTCTAGATAGTAACTGTTTAGAATTTTCTGTAATCTATGTATAAATGCTTCTTAATAAAATTGTGTCATTCCATGATTTCCTTCAAGTCAATAGTATGTAGGTTACTGTGATGTTTTGCTGTTTGAGATGTCTGCATTTCTTTCCAGAAGCTTTGAAAGAAACATTTTCATTTGTGATTTTTTTCCCAAAGTTGATAAGCCTCAAGTATTTCTCTTTCTCCTCACTCCTTCCTCCACACTAACATGTATGTGTACTCTATTTAAATCAACATTTTTCAGTATTCTTTGACTTTTTTAAACTATTAGTCTCAAAATATACATTACTTTCAGTGGTGATTTTGCCATTGGACAGGAGAATTAATGAGAAGAAAATTTTTCAAATCATTCAAGTCATTAGTCGTTGAATTCTAAGATTTGATGCCATTTATATATATTAGAAAAAATAACAAAATTGTATTTTCTCCTTTTTACTGATTGCCTGCTGTTCTGACCCAGCTGTCTGGTGAAAACTGCAGCTAATTAAAGGTGATTACTTCCCTGTCATTTTGAGTTAAAGTACATTTTATTTTATAAATTATCTGTGATTGTGTTACAGTGTGTACTTTGCATACTTTGCACAAATGTTTGCTTTTAAAGCAATAGTCAACTTAGTTTAATGCAAAGCCATGAGATTCTGTTTCTTTCAGGGACCTGGTATAAACAAATTATCACATAAAAACATGGTCTACACATATGTGATACAAGTTTACCATGAGATTATAGTCATTTACAATAGTTTTCATGAGAATGTTTCATTCTCATAACTGAGTCATTTCTTTTTCCATTTTTAATTGGCAAACTGCTCATTCTTCTAGATGATTCAGCTAAAATGAATATACTTAGCTAAAATAATTCTTCTTCAGCAAGGCTGTCTGATGAACTTGCCCTACAGGAGAACCTTGACAAAGATTCACTGATAGCCACATAAACAGTGATTTGCAGCAGTGCCTGACAACATGTTAAATATGAGAGTGTAAATGTCAATAACTTTTCAAATCATGCTGAGAATTTCATCTTGGTCAGTATGTCTGGTGATTGGTATTCTTTTTAAAACTGTTAAAAGTCAGAGAATGTGAAATATTGGCAAAGATGTAGATTGGTGAGAACGCTTTTACACTGATGATAGAAATGAAAATTGATTCGATCCCATGAGAAACCATCTGGCAATATCTTTTTTTGTTGTTTTTGTTTTTGAGACAGAGTCTTGCTCTGTCGCCCAGGCTGGAGTGCAGTGGCCTGATCTCGACTCACTGCAACCTCTGCCTCCTGGGTTGAAGCAATTCTCTTGTCTTATCCTCCCAAGTAGCTGGGATTACAGGTGCTGATTACAGCATGCACCACCATGACCGGCTAATTTTTGTATTTTTAGTAGAGACAGGGTTTCGCTGTGTTGGCCAGGCTGGACTCGAACTCCTGGCCTCAAGTGATCCACCTGCCTCGGCCTCCCAAAGTGCTGGGATTACAGGCGTGAGCCACCACACCTGGCTATGGCACTGTCTTATTAAGTCAAAAATGTCTATACTCTGACCCAGCACTTGGCCCCTAGATATATACTCCAGTGCACAGGTGACCAGGTGAAATAAAAATGGCATTCATATTGATAGCAACAGCACCAAAACCCTCAGATATTTTTCAACAAAATAATAGCTGAGTGAATTATGGTATCTTCTTTCAAAGGACATCGGTTGAACTGTCAAACTGATTGAACTGTATTTACCTGCATTAAAAATGGGTAAATCTTATTAACACAAGCTTGAGGAAAAGCAAGTTGTAGGAAAAATATGAACAGTATGATTTCAGTTTTTAAAGTTCAAATATATAGACAAGTACAGTAGTCTCCCCTTATCTGTGGGGAGTAAGACCCCCAATGAATGCCTCAAGCCACGGATAGTACCAAACTCTATATGTACTATGTTTTTCTTATGCATACATACCTATGATAAAACTTAATTTATAAATTAGGTTCAGTAAGAAATTAATAATAATAATAAAAATAATTATAACAATATACTGTAATAACAGTTATACAAATGTTGTATACAAATATTATTTGTATACAAAAGTTATACAAATGTGGTATCTCTCTCTCTCTCCCTCTTAAAATGCGGTAATATTTTCCGACTGTGCTTAACCATTGGTAACTGAAACCACAGGAAGCGAACCCATGGATAAGGGAGGGCAACTTCACTTGTTTAGGGATAGCCGGGGGATGAGAAACACAAAGTTAAAGGTTGTAGTTACCTCTGGGCCTGAGAGAGGGACAGAGAGAAACACACTGAATTTTTCCAAAGCATTGGCTATGTTCTGCTTCTTAAACTGGAAATGTAGTAGGTGAATATTCATTTAGTCTTTACATGTAACGTACATGTTATGTATGCTCCGTAGTACTTCTTTAATAATCGTATACAAGAGGAAAGAAAAATAGGCAACCAGTCAGGAATATGTTTGAATTTGAGTTGATATTTAGTCCCACAAATTTAAAATATGTGACTGCTCAGCCTTTCCTATACTTTATGAAGAAATTATATAACAGCATATTCAAAAATAAGCATCATTAAAGAACATAAGAAATTTAAAGAACAAACTATGTTTAAGACTTTATATATTTGCGCATGATGGTGCTAATAATATAAAACTTATTTGGGAAAAACAATCTGAGAAACTGGCATATTTTATGGTCAACAATTCAAACAGATATTATGTATAAGCAATTAATAAATTAGAAATAATTTCCAGTGTCAGAAAGCTGTTGAGTACTTAGAGAAACATAACCCATTAATTTTGGTTACTGCTTCTACTATTTCTGTGTGAAGTTGGGGAAACAAAAACCACATTTACTATTTTAATAGCAGTAATTTAACATAGAGAATGAAGTTAAACACACGTTGAAGGATGTTAAATGCAGAAAGAGGATGCTGAGGAAAATGTGGAAAGCGTATACCATCCGTACGGCCAGGGGAATAAAGTGAAAATGTTGGGGTTAGCAAAGAATCATGTAACTACCTGAAAACTACAGCTGGACGTTCCACTGACATCTGAAACCTAGTGAGTTCAAAACCAAATGCATTTTCATTCCTCTGAAACCTACTCTTCTTCCTCCATCTCCATCTCAAAGCCACCCAGACTCTATATCCATTCGGAATCCTCTGTTCTCCTCCCGACAGCACTCATCAACGCACATTAGAATCTCCATGTGAGCTTTCTATGAGCCTTGTCGTGGAGATTACTTTTCTTTTTTACTTTATATCTTGGGGTTTTCTTCAACTTTTATTTTAGAATCGGGGGTACATGTGCCTTTTTGTTACAAAGATGCTAAGGTTTGGGGTAGGAATGATCCCCTCACTCAGGTAGTAAGCATAGTACCCAACAGGTAGTTTTTCAGCTCTTTCCCCCTCTGTCTCTCCCCACTCTAATAGACCCCAGCGTTGATCGCGCTCATCTTTATGTCTGTGTATACCCAATGTTTAGCTCCCACTTGTAAGTGAGAACATGTGGTATTTGGTTTTCTGTTTCTGCATTAGTTCATTTAGGATAATGGCCTCTAGCTGCATCCATGTTGTTGCAAAGGACATGATTTTGTTCTGTTTCATGGCTGCATAGTATTCCATGGTGTATATGTACCATATTTTCTTTATTCATTCCACTGTTGATGGGCAGGCACCCTGGTTGCTTCCATGTTTTTGCTATTCTGACTAGCACAACAATGAACATACAAATGCATGTGTTCTTTTGGTAGAACAATTTATTTTCCTTTGGGCATATATACGCAGTAATTGGATTGCTGGATCGAATGCTAGTTCAACTCTTAGTTGTTTAAGAAGTCTTCAAGCTACTCTCCACAGTGGCTGGACTAATTTACATCCTCATCAACAATGTATAAGCATTTCATTTCCTCTACAGCCTTGCCAGTATATGTTGTTTTTTTTACTTTTTTTTTTTTTTTGGAGATAGAGTCTCACTCTGTCACCCAGGCTAGAGTGCAATGGCATGGTCTCGGCTCACTGCAACCTCTGCCTCCCGGGTTCAAGTGATTCTCGTGACTCAGCCTCTCAAATAGCTGGGATTACAGGCACCCGCCACCATGCCCAGCTAATATTTTGTATTTTTAGTAGATACAGGGTTTCGCCATGTTGACCAGGTTGGTCTCGAACTCCTGACCTCAGGTTATCCGCCCACCTTGGCCTCCCAAAGTTCTGGGATTACAGGCATGAGCCACCGCGCCCAGCCTATTTTTTTTTTTTTTTTGACTTTTTAAGAAAAGCCATTCTGACTGGCGTGAGATGGAAAGAGATCACTTTTCAAAATGACTTAGGTTGGAGCCCTGTCAGGTACATTCTGAAAAGAGTCCCCAGTTGATTCTGAAGTTTACATCTTCATGAAGGAGCACTGACCTTCCGTTCAATTACCAAGCTCTGCAAATTTTACCCCCTAAATATTTCTTGTGTCTGTATCTTCCCTTGTCTGAATTTAACTCTCGCTTTTGTCAGTACATATACAGTACTTGTGAAAGGTAGTGAGGCCAGACATCAATGTTTTTACTGTTTCTATGTTTTTTGTTTGTTTTGTTTTGCTTGTTTGTTTGCCTCACTACATGGAGTGACTGGGTTTTCTCAAATTATTTTCCCAGTGTCCGGTCACTAGCTCTGTGGATATTGAGAGGCAGAGTTGGTGCACAGGGCAATGACTGATTTGATGGTGCAGACTTAACAAGTAAGGTTTGAGTCTAAAACCAAAAGTCGAGCCTGTGGTACCTACCACACAGCATAGGTCCTGACTGTGCCATATATAGCATGCCCCTGGTGGGCTGATTTTATAGTTTTTGTTCTGGGAGTCATTTTTGGAGACCAAGTGTAGAGCCCAATGTCTGTGCACTTACACCTACTTTGCAAGCATCTTGCTGCCTACATTGATCTGCTTTAAGTGGCTACAATGGTGTCTGTTTCCTAAAACTGAACCCAGAATAATGTACAAACCAGGCTTACGTGGGAAACAGTTGGATTTTAGAAGAAAGCTTTCTGATCTGATTACAGTTATTTCTTTTCCTTTGTATCTGTTATGTGACTTCCTTCCTACTTGCTGAGGCTGGTTTGTAGATGCCAATGAAACTTTCTGGAAGCTCACAGAAAAGCAGCAACTCTAAGCTGTGATTAACATTGATTGAACTTGTAGACTTGTATAAATTATTCCAATTCCCTACTCAAAAAAAAAATAGCCAGACTCTTCATGATCATGGTTCATTCCAGGGAGTGGCATGTCATGTCCTTGCTTTAATCTGACAGTGATAAACTGGTGTTTGCCCCACAACGTGCCACTCTGTGGATGGCATGGATGTATTGGAACCCATTGTCTGGTGGGAATGTCTGACATTTTTCTTTCTTTCCTCTGGCTGGGTTATTCTTTGTATTTGGAAACCTAATGCATGCTTTCTGATACTAGCCCTTCAACATGATATAAAATCTTTTTGACTCAGAGAAGTCTTTAAATTAAACAAAAGTTGAGATGATTGGAATTACTCGGTTATGCCAACAGTCTCCTAACAAATGTTTTTTAATATTTGGATTTGACTGCAATGCAAGTTTTCCAGGAACTCTATCTTTGTTCTGTTTTTAATAATGTTTCTAAATGACCCTTCAAGTTTGTGAGATTGTAGTGTTCGGTATTTTTTTTTTTTATTTACATAGTCACATACCAATTTTGAGGATGATAAGTAATAGCCAAGATGATATGTTGTGCAACTTGATGTGCTACAGTTAAGAGAAGAATGGTGTCCAGTCTTCTAAATATATTCCTTATATGTAAGCACATTGAGCATATTTATATGTGGCATTGTGTATGTACAAAATATATGAGAGTTATGAATGTAGAAACTCTAGAACGTGACATTCTATTTTTACATTTATCCAACAGGCTCTTCCTTCTTAATATAGTGAATAAGTAAAGCAACAATTACCAAGAAATAACTGTACAGGTTTTATATCACACTGAGCTTTGGAAATTTGGATGTGAGTTTTGGTGGTTTACCTCAGTGACCACTGGAGACTTAATATCCCTATTAAGGAAAGCCTTGGCCTTGATTATGGGCATCATTGAAAGCACTTTCTTTCATACAGGGTCTTAGTACTTCCTCTGCATTTCAGACACTTGACACACAGAGGTGAATAGGATAGCCCTTGGCTTCAAGGAATGCAAATTATAATCAGAAACAAAGATACACAAACAAATACATTCAATGAAATAATATAATTAACAGCTTTTTTATTTTTAAAAGAGTTTTCTAACAGCCAGCTTAGCACTTTAAGTTCAACTTCCAGTTGAGGCTGAGATAATTTAAGTAGCTAGCCCAAGATTACAGAGCTAATAGAAGAACTGGACTTGCATCCAGATCCGTTTAACCAGTGCTTTGATTCTATCCTATATCATTTGTACGTGTTCTGTAGAAAAGGGAGATGCAAAGTTGAGGGGAGATTGACCCTCTTGTCTTGAGGTAACAGTTGAACCAGACTCTGGGAATGGATAAGTAGAAGTTCAAAACTGGTCATTAAGTGGTGAGAGTATGTCTGGTGGGTGAATAGCATGGGGAAGGGTTGGAGAAATGTGCATAAGCAAGACATTTTGCAGATAAACAAGAAGCTCACTATGACAGGAAGATACAATGAAATTATTTATTCATTCCACAAAGAACTGTTGAGTGCATATTGCCTGTGGGAGATTATTCTAAGTACTGGTAATACAGCAAAGTGAGTAAATGGAGACTGTCTCATAGGAGATGAGAGTAGAGAAGAAATCTATCCTCAAAACAAGCAGACTTGTTCTGTGACTCATTAAATACCTGAACTATCAGTGGTGGACTTTTAAAAACATCTTTTTACTTTGTAATGGCACAAGTATTTGTGTGACTATATCCAGCATATTTTAAAGCAACCTCCAGACATGTCATTCCGCAGGGGGTGCACTGTAGAGAGATATTTACTCAGTATACAGTTGGGAATTCTAATATTTTGAGCTGCTTAGTAAGGAAAAAGCTGCCCAGAAGCAATAAGAATGCACATGACTTGAAACACCCAGACACTGGACAGGTGCGTTTCATGACCTTCTAGAAGGAGGACTGTAGATGAGGTGAGGCTGCCAGTAAATGACTTTACAGTTTTTCTAGAGCTGAAATTCTACATGTTTCCCAGTGTGCACAGGAAATTCTATAAATTAGGGGGAAAAGGTAGAAGAAATAGAAAAAATAGTTTTTGCATGCATTGATGTTACAAATACAGTTCATATGAATGGCCCAAGGACATCGATAAAATTAAGTGAAAATTAATTTAAAATAAGGAAAATTATTATAGCATGCATTTTCTTATCTGTTGAATGTTCTATTGTTTCAACATTAGAGTAAAAATGAAGACCCAGAGGATGGTTGTCACCATGTAGAAGACTTTGTCACAGCCAGTCTGTGATCTTTCTCTACTTCCCCAGCTAATGAAGTCCTCCTTTAAGTCACCAGACCCAGTAGATGATTCTGGAAGTTTCTAGTGTTAGCGTGTTCATACAGGATCCTAGACCCCAAGACACTGTATGATGTCATGGGTGTGTATGATGTCATGGATGTGTATGATATCATGGATGTGTATGATATCATGGATGTGTATGATGTCATGAATAAAAGGACAGTTATTACTTCTACTTTTTAACTTAAAAATGGAAAATGAAATAATTGTGACCAGTAATGAAAATATTAGCCTTCCTTGCCTCTGGCTTTTAGGTTTTGCAAATCAGTCAAGGTGAGAGATTAGATTTTTTTTTCCCTGCTAGCCTACGTTATTAAACATGAGGCTAATAGGATTTTACTTTCCTCATTGGGATTGAAAAGTCACTACTTGAAGACTGTAATGTAGTAGAAGACAAGCTCGCTGAGGACAGGGGTTTTGTCAGTTCTGTTCGTGGCAGTCTTCAGCACCTAGAGCAGTCCCTTGAATCAGTAGATAGTTGATCGATATCTGTGTCATGTGTACGTTAGAAACTGCTCAGAGGCCGGTAGTAATCTCAGCACTTTGGGAGGCCAAAGCAGGTGGATCACCTGAGGTCAGGAGTTCAAGAACACCCTGGCCAATGTGATGAAACCCTCTCTCTACTAAAAATACAAAAATTAACAGGGCGTGGTGGCAGGCGCCTGTAATCCCAGCTACTCGGGAGGCCAAGGCACAAGAATCGCTTGAACCGGGAGATGGAGGTTGCAGTGAGTCAAGATCGTGCCACTGCACTCCAGGCTGGGCAACAGAGCAAGACTTTGTCTCAAAAAAAATTTAAAAAAAACAAACTGCTCAGAGACTTTTGGGAACACTGTGTCACCTGACGTTGCTAGAAATAACCCACTGAAATGATAAGGGCTGTTAAATCTCGGCCTCATTTCTTTTAAGTGATGTAACTTGTCTTCCATATATTCAGTATCCTTACACAGTTTTAGGAAACTCTCAAATTTATGACATGATTTAAGTATATCCTTAATATGCATCTGGAAACATTGTTAAAGAGCAGAATTTCCAGCCACGTGAGGCTGTCGTAAATGATACAGCCCACAGGAAGTTGACTACGGATGTCTTGTCATCTGACCCATCCCTTTCTACATTTCTGACAAGCAGTCAGCTACTTTCTGAATAATCCCAGTGACAAAGGGCTCACCCCCTCAGAAGGCAGGTTACGTCACTGTAGGAGTTCTGTAAACACTAGCCATCCCTGTTAGGTAGAACTAACATCTCTCTCTAACTTCTACTCATGCAACTTCCTCCTTCCTTGAGATCAACACAGAGAATGTCAACACCCGGTCATTCATGAGACCACACTTCAGCTCTTTGAAAACAGCTACTGTATTTTATCTTACACTTCCTTAGGCTGAACTCCACTTGGTCTTATAAAAACAATAGCAGCAATAGCTACTGTTTTTTGTGCATGTACTTAGCCAGCACAAAGTCAGTTTCAGGCATTTTACACTCATAGTGGCTGATCATCACACTAACGTTAGAGAATTCATTAAACTCACTACCATATAATGCAACTAAGATCCAAAAATGTTAGGTAATTAGCCCCAAATCGTAAGGCACATTCAGTGGATGGGTGACCTGGAATTTAAACCCTGTCTGCTAGATTCCAACATCTAGAATGTTATTTCCACTTAAGTAACTATTTATACAGCAACTAACCCATCCAACAGCAATTTATTGCCTAAGTCAGGCACAAATGGAAATAAGATGGATTTCCTTTCAAGTAGCTCAGTCTAGTGGGGCAGAAGACACATAGTTACAAATAACTTTAATATAGTGTGGTAGTTGATATTGAATCCCACCTCCTCAACTTGTGAACTATAGAAATGTGGGCAATCTCTTTGTAGTTCATTTTTCGCTGATGTAAAGTAAGCATATTAATCATCTACTTCAAAGGGTTTTATGAGGATTGAATGGGACAGTACAGGTAACATGCTTAATGTGCTCCCTGGCACATAAAAAGTACTCAGTACATGACAGCCTTAACTCTGTATGCACAAGATGCCCTGGAATCACCAAAGAAGGACGCCTCATCCTGCTTGGAGACAAGTGGCAGGGAATGGAGAAAAGCAGGCCCTGTGGGGAGGTCAGGGAATGCTGTTCAGGGGCAGTTACATCTGGAGATTAACATTTGCATTGAGTCTGCAGAAGATATCAGGACTAGAGGGAGATGGATGGTTTAAAAGTTGGCAAGGTCTACATTGTAGCGAGTGCTACAAATCATGGTGTAGGCTTTGCAATTCTTCCTGTATTCAGGGTGTAGCTGAGAGGGCAGAGGTCACTGAACAGTTTCAGGTTAAGCGGTTGGGTCTCTTCTGGATGGCTTTTTAAGGCTGTGAGGAGGAGCATGGATCTGTGGAAGACTGGAGATGAGAAGCCAAGGGTAAGAGGTTTTCACAGTAGCCTCAGTAGGAAAAATGAAGGCATTTGTACCAGCATAGAACAGGAATGGAGAGGATAGGGCCAACTGAAGAATGGAGGCAAAAACAACAGGATGTTGGAATAAAGAGAGGGGGTTGAGAATAAGTCTCCTGTTTTGGCTCAAGTTATGTAGGTCAGGTGGTGGCACCACCAATGAAGGGAGAATAAGGGAGGTGGCAGGTTTAGAGAAGTCTGTGAGGAATTCTGTACTGGTGGAAGTTTCATATGTTGAGTCTGGAGCTATGAAATACATGGGCTATAGATACAGGTTAGAAATTCTCCAGCATCCAGCCTGCAAGAGGCTACCTGGGCACAGGTGAGGGATGAGAAGCAGACGGGCAGAGAGAACCCTGGATCTGCCTACGCTGATCTTAGATTTTACTAAGCCCAAAGTCATCCACATTTGCTGGGAAGGATGTGCACTAATAATACAGCCTTCCTAGATTCCCATGCTTAGATAAACTAATGACCTGGAAGGGAAAAAAGAGGACACTGTAGCTTTATAAAAGAAAGAAAATATATTAGAAATGCAATGACAAAGTCTCCTGGGAGAAATGGCAACCTTACCTTAAGAACTGTAGTGAGAGGTTTTGGGGATTTTTTTGTTGTTGTCGTTGTTGTTTTTTTTTGCATCAGATGTGTTCTATCCAAAGTTTTGTGTTTAAATATGTACTTTTCATTGTTGAATTACTTCCTTACTGGCTCCGGTTTCTTGCTATTACCAAAATGGCAGACATTTCTTCAGAATCTTCTTAGAGGTACTTCTCAATATTAACCCAAATGGAATCTGTAGACTACCTAAGACATTTATGATGCCACAGGCATGAAAAGAGGATAAACTTTGGTGTTAGATCAGGATTTCAGTTATGAATTTGCTGCATATTATCTGTGGACTCTTGGGCAAATTAGTGCCTTATTTGAGCCTTAACTTCCTCAGCTATAAAAGGAGGTAATAAGTCTACTTTATGGGCTTCATTCTAAGGATTATGTTAAATAATGGATAAAATGCATCTGACATGTAATAGATGCTCTACAATTATTGGATGCTATACTAACATTACCACCCATGTTATTATTTATTATTTTTCAGAAATCTGGTCTTTAGGAATAAACTTTTATTATAAGTCAGTTGATACTGATGATGATGGTGATGATGATAGAAAATAGTTACATATTGCTTTACTCTGTGCCGGGCATTATTCTAACACTTCACGTCTCTTCACAGATCTGATCCTTATAACTGCACAGTGAGGCAGGCTCTGCTATCATGCCCATTTTACAGATGAAGAGACTGAGATTTAGAGGTTATATAACATGCCCAACTGATTGGTTTGGGAATAATCAAACTGAGATTATAAATTCTGCATAATTTCTTTTTACAGCCCTCTAAAAGGAAGCCTTGATCATCGGCTTCTCATGTCCGTATTTGGATGTTTCCAAAATGTGTGCAGAACATATGCTGATTAGGGGAGTTAACAGAATTTTCTAACATTAGCTAAGATGTTTTCAAAATTGCCTTAATGCTCCACTAACAGTGTGACACTCTAAATAATGTTCTGTCTAATTTCAGCCTGTGAAGTTGAAGCAGGGAAAGTATACCAGGTCTCCTCAAAAGAGCATATGCAGCCTTTCAAGGAAAACATGGAACAATTTATTATTCAAGGTAAATTCCAAAGAGATGTGTTATGTTTTTCTCCCCTTTCAGCAAAAAAAAAAAAAAAAAAAAAAAAAAAAAAAAAAAGCTACAAGGCATTGTTTAAAAAATACATATTGCTTTAAAAGGGCTTATTTTGACATTACAGAAAAACAGATTAAGTTGAATTATGAGTCACAGGGTTGTAAGAGGCTAGCAATTTGATAAACATGCTATTTGTGGATAATGCTCATTATTAATGTTTGTTTGCTTGCATGACAGTATATACACTAGATATTAGTTAAAATAGCTCATCTTTTAAAAGACATTAACAATTCTGTGCTTTTTGTGATAGAAAATTAGATAGTATTATTTTACATTTTAATTGTACTGATGAGCTCATTTCAACCTGGTATTTATTTGGCTTGTCAAAACATTGTACCCAGGGAACAAACTATATTGATGTTGTTCGGATCTTCAGAGCATTATTTGCAGTTTTTTTAATGGGATACGCCAATACCTCTGGATATTCAACACCTGTCTTCCAGGGAGCTTAAAAACATTATAAATATTATCTCATGGACTCTTCCTGCATTTCTAGGAGATAGGCAGGGATGGAAAATTTTAGAAGATAATAAAGAAAAAAATTTAACAGGAAAAGAAAGCATCTATTAAGTCTTGATGTTTGAAATCACTGAAACTTATAATTATATCAAAGCATTTACTACTCAAAATATTTCAACTTTGGAATGTTCCATCTCTTCTAAAGATCAGATTTATATCATGCCATGCTCTGGGAAAGTTCTTGCTGTTTCAGGAATTCTCCTAGAGGCTGACATGGCTTGAGACTGAGGCCAAGAACACTCTGAAGATTGGCTCCATACTTTATTTTGTTATAGGTTGTTCAAGTGTCATTAATGATGATTTAACAATGAATTAGTCATACTACAATTTGATTAAATGTTAGGCACAGCTTTTTTAAGATGGGAAAATACTATTTAATCATTTAAGATAATTGTGAAGATTGAAACAGAACTCTGGTGAAATTCATAAATCACGTTGAATGTCATTTTCAAATTCTGAGGTCTTCATAACTTAGAGTGGAAAATCTACTCATTGATTCTTAACCGAAATCATTAGTCCTGTAGTAAATATTAGGGAACATTGTAAACTCATCCCACTCTTAGTAGTGAATAAAAGTGAATCATGCTTTTTCCATCTAGTGGGGTTGTGGAATCAAGAATATGTAGCACATTTTTTAAAAATGTAACAGGAAATAATATAGGTAAAAGCATAGAATATTCATTTTTGTCTTATAAGAAGAAAGGAATCCTTAATCCTAGGAGGATTTATTCAAAAAAGCAATCAAGCAATTTGCTGGATTTCACATCCAAAATATAAACAAATGTCACTCTTATTCTTGGTCACATTATATGTGATTTATTATATAATATTTTGAATCTGCAATTTATAGACCAGGCATTGAGACTAGTGTTTTCCATACTGAATAGTGAAATTATGTTTTGCAACACATTTGGAATTTAGGAATTGTGCTTTCAAAACACAGATGATCAGCCGAATATGATATCTCTGGTAGTCATTTATAATGATTTGAAAGGCAGTTAGAGGTGTTTAGGATTTGTCTAGTAGTTCCCTGGTAGGAAAGACGGGATTGCCCAGTCATACTAACTGTGTAAGTAAGTATCTCTTCAGATTTTAACAACCTTACGGGTTTTTTTTTTTTTTTTGAGACGGAGTCTCGCACTGTTACCGGGCTGATGTCCAGTGGTGTGATCTCAGCTGGCTGCAACCTCCACCTCCCAGGTTCAAGTGATTCTCCTGCCTCAGCCTCCCGAGTAGCTGCAATTACAGGCACCCGCCACCACGCCCGGCTAATTTTTTGTATTTTTAGTAGAGACGGGTTTTCACTCTGTTGGCCAGGCTGGTCTTGAACTCCTGAGCTTGTGATCCAGCCTCTTCGGCCTCCCAAAGTGCTGGGATTACAGGCGTGGGCCACCGAGCCCAGCCAGGAAGATCTTTTAACCTCCTTGTTATGAAACTCAGATATTAACTTTTTTTTTAATACTTCTCCATGTTAAATGAAAACAATGTTGTAAGGATACTAACCTATATACTGTATTCTTAGAAGTAGGAAATGCTTCACCTTTTTGCCATTAAGTTAAACATGATGAGTCTTCATGGCACCTCTTCCACTACTTTCAGTTGCCTTTTTATTTCTTCTTTGCATCTGTTCGAGTTTTCTGTTTCTTTGTTCATTTAAAAATTCTTTTAATGCTTTCAGTATGCCCAGCTATTCTGTTGGGTATGACTTACAGCAGTGAATAAGAAAATGTATGCGTCTTAATGGACCTTACATTCTGCATTACCTGGAAGACAGGTGATAAAAACAACATAAACAACAGAAAATTTTTTGGAAAAAAACCTATGTACATCAAATGTATGTAGATCAAGTGTGTCAACAATATGAAAGAATAGAAGTCTCACTTTAAACATAGTCACTCTCAAAGCTGTTTTCAAGAACATGTAGGGAAACAGTGGAGTTCCGAATATGTTTCCTGTTCTAGTCCATTTTCACACTGCTATAAAGAATTGCCTGAGACTGGGTAATTTATAAAGAAAAGATCTTTAATTGACTCACACTTCAGCACGTCTGGGGAGGCCTCAGGAAACTTACAATCATGGCAGAAGGCGAAGGGGAAGCAAGGCATCTTCTTTACAAGGTGGCAGGCAGGAGAAGTGCTGAGGGAAGGGGGAAGAGCCCCTTATGAAACCATTAGATCTCGTGAGAACTCACTCCCTATCATAAGAACGGCATGGAGAAATGGCCCCCATGATTCAATTACCTCCACCTCGTCTCTCCCATGACACATGGATTATGGGGATTACAGTTCAAGATGAGATTTGGGTGGGGACACAAAGCCTAGCCATATTATTTCCCTTAAAATACATTTTTAAGGCCAGGCCCAGTGGCTCACTCCCATAATCCCGGCACTTTGGGAGGCTGAGGTGCGCAGGTCACATGAGGCCAGGAGTTCGAGACCAGCCTGAAACCCCATCTCTACTAAAAATACAAAAGTTAGCCGGGTGTGGTGGTGCACACCTGTAATCCCAGCTACTCAGGAGACTGAGGCATGAGAATCACTTGCACCCGGGAGGCAGAGGTTGCAGTGAGCCGAGATTGTGCCACTGCACTCCAGCCTGGGCAACAGAGCAAGACTCTGTCTCAAAAATTTAAAATAAAGGTAAATTTTTAAGAAGATAGCCAATTCCTTTGCCCCCATGTTTCTTCTAGTTTATCAGGACATGATTCTAAAATTAAAATTATAAACTAAAGAAAATGCCATCTTAGCACAAATAAATGCCAAATCTTTGCTTATAATTAGGCTTTCATCAATAATAGTATTCTTACATCAGCCTCTGTGCTTAGATTCATTTATATGGGTATGATTATATTTTTGTATATACAAGCAAGGTCTTTTTTAATGTGCCTCATCCTCAAAATATAAAATCTCTTGAACAATTCAAGAAGCTATGCCCAACACTGCCCAAATGTCTTTATTGCATTAGCTCCCTCTGTATAATAGAAACATCTCTTATCCCTGTAATTCAGCTATTGTGTGGTCTGTGGTCCACACTCTAAGAGTCTTACGGAATTCATCTAGCCCTGCAACCCATTCAATTTTCCCTCCCTATCTTCCTAGTTCTACTGAAGCCAAGATTTCATGGTCTATGTTTAAACACCTCCTCACTGGGAACATCTCTCACCTCTGCCCTAAAATAGGCAGATTTAGAGAATTTAGCCCTACTGTCATAAGGCATTCATTGTTTGTAAAGGTGCTAGATATGTACCCTCCTTGAGAGAATTGAGAATATACTCACTCAAAAATTGTTCTGACGGCCACCTGGCTTTATATTCTTCATAACACTTATCACTGTCTGCAACTGCATCATTTATTTGTCCATCAATAGTATAAGCTTCATTAAGAAGGCAGTTTTGCTTTGCTTCTTGCCGTACCCCTGTACCTAGAACAATGCACAGTATAGCATACACTGTCTTGCTCACCAGGCATAGGTCTAGCAACCCTTGTTAAGCTCATCTCTTTGCTTTCTCCATATTTGCACCACAATATTGAGCAGCTGATCATTTTTGTATGCAGGAAGGTCCTTAAAAGGACACCGACTAGTATCACGTTAAATTCATAAACCCACTGACAACTCAGTTTTTTTCCTCAACAATGTTACTAGATTTCCCTTGCAAATTTAGCTTTCTCTATTTCTGAGATTTGTTTATATCATCCCTTCTCAAACCTTTGCAATCTTCCTGTTCCATTTACCGATGACTCTAATGATAACCTCACCTTATACCTCGATGAGAAACAGTTACATGATTATACAGAAGCTCCCACACTTACCCACCATCACATCTGCAAACCAACAGCATCTGAATCTGTATTTTCTGTGCATCTTTCACTGCAAGAGAAGGAAAACCCTGCTCTCATTAAAGGCAGATCTTTACCCACATGCTCTGGACCTGATACTTCTATTTTTATCCAGGAATCCACTCCTAGAGTTACCTCCCCTTCTCTCTCAACTTCAGTTGTACGTTTTCCTTCTGGGCTTGATTCCTTCAACAGCACTCAGATGTACTCTATCTTACAGAGTGTGAAACCATAAGAAGGGTGCTAAATATACACCTATGGCGAGGACAAGTCTTTTTAGTGACTGTTAATACTTGATTATTAGAGGAATGATTGGGGGGTGAGAGAGTTTACGTATGTTTATTGCGGCACTATTCACAATAGTAAAGACTTGGAACCAACCCAAATGTCCAACAATGATAGACTGGATTAAGAAAATGTGGCACATATACACCATGGAATACTATGCAGCCATAAAAAAGGATGAGTTCATGTTCTTCGTAGGGACGTGGATGAAGCTGGAAACCATCATTCTCAGCAAACTATCGCAAGGACAAAAAACCAAACACTGCATGTTCTCACTCATAGGTGGAAATTGAACAATGAGAACTCTTGGACACAGGAAGGGGAACATCACACACCAGGGCCTGTTGTGGGGTCGGGAGAGGGGGGAGGGATAGCATTAGGAGATATACCTTATGTAAATGACAAGTTAATGGGTGCAGCACACCAACATGGCACATGTATACATATGTAACAAACCTGCACATTGTGCACATGTACCCTAGAACTTAAAGTATAATAATAATAAATAAATATATGTGTATATATATATATATATATATATATATATATATATATATATATAAAAGAGTTTAAAGAAGGAAAAAAACACGACACGAAGAAATGGACACAAGCAAATTGGTAGTTGCGTCGTGGGAGGGAGTAGCATGTGATGAGGCCGAACGTGTATTCCTGGCTGAGGGACTTAGGCTTCATCCAGAAGTCTTGGGGAGCAGAAGTTGCTCTTGGGGAGCAACAGTTTCCCAGTGATCAAGGGATCGGTGGAGGCAGATTGGACTTGGAAGCAGGAGACCACTTATAAGATCGTTATGGTACGCTGGTAAAGAAATGAGAAAGCCTTGGACTAAGGAAGTGGGGATGGTGCTGAAGAGAGAATAGCAGTGATGGTACTGAAGACAGAATAGCTGTGAGGGATAATAATAAGACAGAACCAAATGGACGAGGAGATGATGGATAGGTGTCTAGATTTTAGGTTTGAGTATCTGGGTGAGTGGGGGTACTAATCACTGAGATAGAGAATATGCATAGACGGAAAGATTTGAATGGTTGGCATGGTTACCCATATGTAAACACGCAAGTGGGCATGCCCAGTGGACATGTGGGTATATGAGCTGAACTTGGCATAGAGATCTGAGATTGAGGATTGGACATCATAAGCAAGGTGATTCTTGCATGGATGTGGTCACCTAGGAGGTTAAGAAAAATTAGATCCAGGGATAGTATTCTGGAGGAGAATAGCATTTTTAGGATGGACAGAGGAAAACCAGGTGTTAGTAGTCAGGTAGATAGGAAGAAAATTGGCAGATGAATTTGTTACGGAAGCCAGAATTGGGAAGAGTTTCAGAAAAGGGCAAATGCGAATACTCATAGCAGCACATGTTCAAATGGACTGGGTAAATGAGGACTGAACAACAGCTAGGCTTGTGGATATGAAGGTGGGGGTCAGTGGACGGAACATGTTTCTGGGATTGGCATAAGCAGACGCTGATTTTCTGAGCTTTTAACATAGAAGTGAAGAACTAGTGTGCACAGCTCTTATTGCGGGACAACTGTAACTGATGCATACGTGTTGGACTGAACTCTTGAATCAGAGTTACTATAACTTAGCTTATCTCTATTTTCTGTCACATATGTGACAAGAAACCATATGTGACATAGGATTTTTCTGTCGCAAAACCAACATATGTGATGGTTTTGTTTTTGTGCATGTGAGATGAAGACAACTAATTCTTAATCTCCAGATGGTCATTCAGCATTTATTTACAATTTGGTGTTAAATTTTCTATTTTTTTAATAGCAGAAAATGTGGGATATAGAAAGATGAGATAAATGTGATCACTGGGGACTCATGTTTTCCTAATATATCTCTCAGAACTCAGTACACTCCTTCCTTTTTTCTCTCTCTTTATTTTTGAATCTAATTTGTAGTTTGGACAAAGTATACACACAAAAAACATATTATCGCTGAACTATAAAGAACCTTAGGTGGAATGGATGACCTTTATATATGGATCTGCTCATGTTGAAGTCACTGGGAGAGAAATACAAGCCTGGTTCTCCTTTGTTGGCCTTCAGTGCTCCCTTAGTCATATGGTACATTTTGATAAGTGTGTATTTTAAAACTTAAGCTCAACTGTTTTTTTGGATGAATGGCAATTTCTTTAAAAAAAGGAGTGGGGGCTCTCTCCATGCTTTTACATAAAGTCCCTACCATGATTTTATAAATCAAAAATAGCTAATGGGATTTTTCACTGACCTTGCTCTTCATACTTCTACCCGCCTCCCCGCTTTTCCCAAACATTTCTTCTTTAAGCATAGTAAATTGTGGCTGAACTAGGGGAATAGAACCAAAATGAAAATGCATAAATCTGTAATCACATGCTTATAATTAAAAGAATGATGAAACCTCAGCTCTTAAATATACAGTCTGTAGTATTGGTAATGCTATACTTGAGAACAAAGAGATGCTGAAAGCAGTGGCTGTTGACTGTGCCAAAGACTGAAGAGCCTAGTAGAAGAGAATATCTTTCTCAGAAAGGAATATTCTTTATGCAGGGTGAGCATGTTTCATGTTGTACTTCTGTGTTTTTCTGAAAATATGATAAAGACACTTTTTCCAGTAATGAAAACAGGTATGTTTGATTTTTTGGTGTAATCTCCCTTCATTGACCATTTAATGTTGAAAAAGAAGCAAATTGTCTTTTAAGCAAACCGCTTTTTACCATTGTGAATTTGGTGTGATTTGTTGTAGATTTTTAAATTTTAATGAATTTGGTGTGATTTTCTGTAGATTTTTAAATTTCCCTTTTGGAGAGAAAAACCAAAACACTTGCCCTGCTGGTAAATCATGGGACTTCGTCCAAGCCCTTGCTTGGCCCCTCCCAGTTTTAAGCTTGAATGAGGGCAGGTCTCTGGGACCCTGCCCCTTGCAGCAGGAGCATCTTGTCTCGTGTGCGTGCGTGTGCATGCATGTGCAAATGTTCCCTGAGACCCAGGACAGAGGCTGCATCCTAAGGGCTGGTTTTACCCTCTTTTCATTCTGTATGTCCTCCCCCACCTGCCTGTGAAGCTCTCAAGGTCCTGCCAGCTCTACACGTCCCCAACTCTGTTTCTCCCCTCCCTTTATACTAGGGGTTCAGAACTTCCAGCCAGAAGCCACTGCCCTTGTACTACCTTGTCCCCAACCCCTTTGTCCCCTCTGCCCCCCAGCCTGCTTCCTGCCTGATGGCTCAGGTGTCCCCATGCTGGTCATGCTGGCTCAGGCTGCAGGAGCAAGCCTGGGAGACTTCCCTGCCTCTGCCACTTTGTGTGGGTAATTGTGCTTTAGGGGAAAGTGGGGGGTTCAGTAAATTTCTGGTGCACTAGTGGGAAAAAAAAGGTCATAGGATAACAATTATTAAACCTTAATGCTATTTCTGCTGTGCTGAAGAATGAAGCAAAGCCATTTATACTCCAGGCAATTTTACTTTCGTGACTCTTTAGGTCAGTCTGAGCAGCCATTATTATCCTCATTTTACGATGAGGAAACAAATTCTCAGAGGGCTCATTGCTTGACTGAAATACAATAGATGGCAAAGTCAGGCTGGAACCAAGATCTTTTAAAGGAGGCTGGAGCAGTATTTTAATTTAAAAATCATTGTAATATAGTAAGAGACCCAGATAGGGCCGTTTTGTGGTGTCAGGTGGTAGAAACCATAAATACAGATGAAATCCCATGTAAGATAATCAATTAAACTCAAAAGTCACCAATAACTGGACTGCAAAATGAATACGCTTTTGTATTAGTGCAACATTCATGCGGACACCGTGAACCAGACGGACAAAACTCTTTCCTCTCTTGTAGTGACAAATGATGATTCCATTTTAAAGGTACCTTTCTTGCCACTCTTAACATTTGAGAAGCATGAATTTGAAGTGATTCTTCTGGAAACAAAAATAGTTTATATCACCACTTCTCTCTGAGGGTTAGATTTCCAGCAGCCACAATCATTCATTCCACAACCGTAGATGAGACTTGATCAAAGAGCCTCTGAGGAGTGACAGGGAATCGATTCCATATGGGAGTCCCTAACCACCGCCTCCTGCATATTTCCAGTCGGATGCTCCCACTGGCACCTCACACTAAATATCTCCATAATGTGTTCCATGCTGTGTCTTCAGCACCTAGTACGTCGCAGACTCCCAATAAACATTTACTTCACAGATGAATGAATGAAGGAATGACTGTCAATTCAACACAAGCATCTCAGTTCTTCTGCTCCGCTTGTGTTCTCTAACACTGTAAGTAGTGCTACCACCCATGTGATTGTCTAAGACAGAAAGCTTGGCCTCATTCTTCATTTCTCTATGAATGAGTGCTGGGAATGTTTAAATAATGCATGTATCTATTATAAAATACAGGACCATAATGGAATGTAAGTCTTCTCACTATTACTGTTCTCTACTTTAACCAATGTTGTATTTCATTTCTAGCCTTCCAGAGATAATTTGCATGGATAAGCATGTATGTGCATATATAGATATAGATATATACACATATACATACATACATACGTGTGCATATATATACATACATATGTGTGTGTATATATATACACACAGACACACATATATATACACATATACATACATACATACGTGTGCATATATATACATACATATGTGTGTGTATATATATACACACAGACACACATATATATACACACACACACATTTGTATTTATATAGTTTTTACTAGTGGTTACATGCTCTATATGTCTTTCTGCCTTTTGCCTTTTCATTTCCATTATGAAATATTTTATATTTCTTTGTTTTATATTTTCTATATAGAGATAACTATATGCAAGTGTATATGTTTTAGATACACACATACATACAACATAAAATTTTGTACTATATTCATTTTATGTTGAACACAAAAATAAAACATTTTATTATTCATACACTATTTATGTGAGACAGCCAATTCTCCTCATTTTCTATAGTTAGGTTTTATAGAGTCACTGCGAACACTGAATTAGTGAATATGGAACTATTCTTCTATGGGGAAATACAAGTTTAGGTGCCTGCAAGCCTGTGGTCATATTCTTGTCAACTAATTCACTCATAACTTTGTCTTATGTGTGTTTATGTTTAATGACACCTTAGCTAATAATATACATTGTTCATTCATTAATGTTGAACTCATGGCTGGCAACACTGTTACTCATGCCTTAATGAACTTTACTTAACACATGTATTTTCTCCATAAGGTATATCACAGCCATCTTGCACATAGGAACACTAGCTAACAACTGAGCACTCTGCTTGGGGGCCATTTAAAACAGTGAAATTACCAAAAATCCCATAAAGATGTGGAAAATGTGGCACAAAATAGATGGTGACAAGGGCACTTTTCACAGTGTAAGAGCTGAAACAAGAAGGCAGAGTGTTACCTTGCAAAACCTCAGCTGGAAACATGCTAGTTTATATAACAAAAATAAGGTTATATTATAGATCTATATGCATATCTTATAACCTAAATGAGGTATAAAGATGTATCCCAATAGCCATATACACCCAGCTCACAGAATAGAACATGATCAATACCGGTCAGTCAGCTCTTCCATTTATCTTTCTCCAATCTTATACCTGTGTCCCCTTCAGAAACAACCACTATCCTGAATTTTCTATTTATCATTCCGATGTTTATTCTTTATAGTTTTGCCAAAAATGTAAATCATAACCAACGTATTGTTTACAATTTTAGGAACTTTGTGTGACTGGAAATATAAGCATACCCTGCTGCAACTTAGTTTTTTCTCCACTGAACGTGGTTTTTGAAATTCTTTCATGTTTTTGCATGTGGTTCTATTTCATTAATTTTTATTCTATTGTAGGACTATAATAGCACAGATTGTCTATCCTATTCTATCCTTTTTTTTTTTTTTAAATTTGAGATGGAGTTTCGCTCTTGTTGCCCAGGTTGGAGTACAATGGCACGATCTCGGCTCACCGCAACCTCCGCCTCTGTTTAAAGCGATTCCTCTGCCTCAGCCTTCCAAGTTCAGCCTTCCAAGTAGCTGGGATTACAGGCATGAGTCACCACACCTGGCTAATTTTGCATTTTTAGTAGAGGGGGGGTTTCTCCACGTTGGTCAGGCTGGTCTCAAACTCCCCACCTCAGGTGATCTGCCCGCCTCGACCTCCCAAAGAGCTGGGATTACAGGCGTGAGCCACCGCGCCCGGCCCTCTATCCCTGTTTTATTGATTATGGACAATACTTATATGAACATTTGTGTTCACAATTCCTGATCCACATCCATACTCCCTTTTTGTGTTGCAAACCTAGGAGGTTTGCTGAGGTGTGGGACAAGTGAATCTTCTGCCTCGGAGGTAAAGTCAAAGTGTTTTTAAAAATGATTAGTTCTCATCTGCACTTCTATCGGCAGAGTTCCAATTGTGTTAAATCCTTACCAGCACCGAGTTCTTTGATTTTATTTTTTTTAGTTGTTTTTGACCCAATTGACTCTTTAAAGTGGTATTTCGTTGAGGTTTTCACTTGCATTTTCCTGATTATTTTTGAGAAATCATGTGTTTTCACACATTTATAGTTGTTTCCTTTTCTCTGTAATGCCATTGTGAGTCTTTTGGCTGTTTTTTAATGACTTGTCTTTTACTTATTGAGTTATTAGGACATCTTTATATATTGAGGACATTAAAATGTGGTCAGATAAATTTTCCCAAGCCCTGCTCCCACTTTGGAGCTTGTCTTTTCATTTTTCTTTTGCTGACTATTGATTTTAAAAGTTCTTTATTTCTATGTAGTGATATCTATCAACCTTTTTCTTGATGGTGCATAATTTTTTTGCCTTATTTAAGAAATCCGGCGGGGGGCAGTGGCTCACGCCTGTAATCCCAGCACTTTGGAGGCCAAGGTGGGTGGATCACGAGGTCAGGAGATCGAGACCATCCTGGCTAACACGGTGAAACCCCATCTCTACTAAAAATATAAAAAATAAGCCGGGAGTGGTGGTGGGCTCCTGTAGTCCCAGCTACTCGGGAGGCTGAGGCAAAAGAATGGCGTGAACCTGGGAGGCAGAGGTTGCAGTGAGCCGAGATCACGCCACTGCACTCTAGCCTGGGTGACAGAGCGAGACTCAGTCTCAAAAAAAAAAAAAAAAAAAAAAAAGAAATCCTTCCCTTCTCTAAGTTGGTAAAGATAATGTCCTTTATTTTCCCAAGAAAATTTTATAGTTTTGCTTTCACATTTAATCCTTCAGTCTATTTGAAATTCATTTTTATCTATGATCTGCAATAGGAATCACATTTAATTTTACGTCATATGGATAATGCTGTTTTAGTTGTTTAGTGCCATGTAAGGAATAAGCCGTTTTCTCTCTAATATGCTGTACCATTTCTATCATGTAGGAACTTTCCATATATGTATGAGGCTTTCTTGGGTTTTCTCTATACTATTCCATTAGCCTATTTCCATTATTTATCCTTATAACAAAACCTGTTACTATTCTATTTACTGTAGACTTCTAATAAGTCTTGAAATGTGAAAAGGCTAGATTCCTACCTTCTTTAGATTTATGCCTCCTCTTGGTAGTTTATTCTGCTATATAATTTAAGAATTAAGTTGTTAAGTTCCACCAAAACAAAACTATTAGGATTCTGACACAATTACACAGGCTATAGATCAGACTGGGTAGAACTGACATCTTTATGATATCAAGGCTTTCTATCTATGAACATGGTACAGACTAGTGTTTATTTATGTTTCCTTTAATATCTGCCCAAAAAGTTTAAAATTTCATTAAGATTTCCATATGTTTTTGTACAAATATTTCTAAAGACCTCATTTTTGTTTGTATTTTGTAAACTGCATTTACTCTATTTTGAAGATATGTAAAATTCAAATAGCTTACATCTTACAAACTTGTTAAGCCCTCTTATTAATTTAACAATTTGAGATATTAAAAAATTTCTCTGGCGATATCACTGCGAATAATGACAGTTTTATGTATGTATGTATTTATTTGCTATGTAGTTTCTTTTTTCTTCCTTTTTTCTGGTCATTTTGCACTGTGTTGTACCTTTAGTATAATATGGACAGAAAGAGTAGAAATGTCATTTCACAAAGGGGCATAATTAGAGGAATACAAATAAATATTTTGGCCATCTTTGTAAACAAATTAACACAAATTGATTGGAGGTTTTCATATCATTTAATTTTCCCCTCTACTACTTTTCAAGTGATATTCTGTATCTTTATTCTTTTAGTGCCTATCTTGGATATATTGACACAGTTCTTTTTATTGTGTATATTTAAAGTGTACAACACAATGTTTATATATATATATATATAAACACAGAGTAAAATTATTCGTCAAGCAAATTAACATATTTTATCATTTCACATAGGTACCGTGTGTGCACGCGCACGCACCCTGTGTACTGCTGAATAGACAGATCTCTGGACATATTTATGCTACATAGCTGCGATTTTGTACACTTTCACCTCCATCTCCCCACTTCCCTCCACCTCCTGCCTTTTCTACTCTTTGTTTCTAGGCATGCAAGTTTTTTGGTTTTGTTTTTAGTTGAGATTTCACATATAAGTGAGATCAAGCAATATTTTTCTGTTAACACAATTATTTAGCAAAGTCTAAAGTTGCTGTTTTTACTTCCCTCTAAACAAATTCTTAGCATGTTTTAATGCTAATCTTACCATTTGAATGCCATTCCTTTCCAGTGTTTTAGTTTCATTTTATATTGTCTGTTACCCCTAAAATATAGAATTATTATTTTATGTATTCATTTTTGGTTTACATTTAACCAATACCATTGTCTTGGCTCACTATTCCTTCATATTATGCCGCCTTCTAAGATTATTTTTCTTCTTTCTCAAGTACACCCTTGAAAAGTTGCTTTGGTGTGAACTCCGGATTGTAAATTCTGTTTTTGTCTGTGTGAACATATCTTTATATCAAGCCTGTTTTTTAGCAATAGATTTGCTAATTATAAAATTCTAGGTTCAAAGTAAATTCCTTTCAGCCGCCTGGAGGCCTCTGCTTTCTCTATTCCCTTGTTGCATTGACAACTCTACTCGGGTCCAATTTTTGCTTCTTTGTTTCTAATCTAAATTTTCCCTCAGGATCTTTTATGTTTTTCTGTTTCTCCATATGTTTGTTTTGGCTAATCATCAGGAGGCACTACCAACCCAAACTATTTTAAAATAAATCCTTGCCTTGCATGTTAGGATCACACATTGGGCGTTTGGGGCCTAATGCAGTGTGGTTGCCCATGATGGGTAAGGGATTCCTATGTGAGAGAGTTTCCCCTTCCCCCAAAGCTACTGGTGAGGTGGATGCATTTCCTTAATGCCTGATTTAGTGGGGTGATTCTTTTCAATTTCTTCTTTTAAGATGTCTCTGTGGTTATGTCGGACGATTTGAGGCCTGTTCAAAAATTTCCCATATGGCCTTAAAAACTAAAGTTCTAGGTTGCTAGGTTTAGCGATGTCCTGAGGAAGTTCTGGCTTGCACCTCTTTGGAATCCTGCTCCTGTTTGTTTTTATGGCCTCAGAGAATTTTCCTTATTTTCTATCCAACTCAGCCATGCATTCAATATTACTTTACCCCAGCTTTTTTGTGTTCTTTGTTCTGAAACTTTTTGATATCTATAGTCTTGTTGAAATTAGAAGTCTATCTTGTTTTTTTCAATGAAAATATATTTAAATAATTTTACATTAGTACGTTCTTCTTAATGACTTCATAGTATTTCACTATAAAAATGCACCCAAACTTACTTGCTCATTTCTCTACTTACCCACCTTTTTTCTAAAACATTGTTTTCAAAAGCAAAAGATTATGGTAAAAACATGTGTGTATGTCTCACAATTCACATTTGGTACTGTACAGCCCGAAATGTTGAGCTGCTGGGTCAAAAGCAGTATTAGCCTTATTCTTGATGCCTCCTTTTCTCCCATACCCTTGCCATCCTTGCTTTCCTTACCTCATCGTTGTTAAGTCCTGTGGCTTTGCTCACATGTGTCCACTCCACTCTAATCCCATTGCATCAACCTATCTCAGACCCAAATTATCACTTTTTTTCCTTAGGCTGACCGTTTCCTAACAGGTCTCACTTTTCCTCATCACCGCCATTCTGTTACCGTATAATCACCAATAACCTGATAGTAACCTTCAGTCTTCTGGAAAAGATTGAATAATGTTAGTATAATAAATTATTAAAGTGTGCGACTACTCATTAAAATTTATGTTTAAAATATAGAGCTAATATATTTTAAACTATGTAAAATATCAAAAATGTGTGTTTATTTATTTTTGGGAGAAGGAGTCCTTGCTCTATTGCCCAGGCTGGAATACAGTGGCGGGATCTCAACTCACTGCAACCTCCGCCTCCTGGGTTCAGGCAATTCTCCTGCCTCAGCCTCCTGAGTAGCTGGGATTACAGGCACATGCCACCATGCCCAGCTGATTTTTTTTTATTTTTTGTTTTTTGGTTTTTTTTTGGTAGAGACGAGGTTTCACCATATTGGCCAAGCTGGTCTTGAACTCCTGGCCTCAAGTGATACCCCCACCTTGGCCTCCCAAAGTGTTGAGATTACAGTCATGAGCCACTGCGCCTGACCTGAAATGTATTTTTAAAATATACCTTATTTGCCCTTCATGTTAGATAATACAAAATTAATTGCATATTTTTTCATGGTTAAGTCTAAGCTTTCCTTCCTTAGGTTCTGGGTACTTGGATATGCTCTGCCATGAAGAAGAATCCTGACCAAATAAATGGTTGTGTTCTTGTAGCTGAACCTCAATTACATTCTTTAGTGACTGACGTGAATCTTCCAGTTTTTTTTGAAGAAAAGTCAGCCAGAAACTGAGTTCAAGACTAGCACTTTTAAAATTTTAAACCTTTTTTGTTAAAGCAATTCTGGTATAATAAAACCCAAGGGTCCATTTGTATAGTTACCTAAGAAATACCAACGTGTTGATTCAGAAGTAAATCGTCATAACATATTAAATTGCACCATTTAAAATTATGATATTTTCTGGTTAATGTCTAAAATCTGCCAGTTTATTAATTTTCTGCTTGACACATGTTCTAACTACATGTTACTTGGGCATTTGGATCATTAGGGAAATAAGAGTTGAGTGTGTTTGTTGTACGTTGTCTATGGTTTCCTAAGTCTCCTCTGAAGATAAGCAACACTTGTGAGACAGATGTGTCACACAGTGGAGGGCTTTGGTGTAATTACCGCTCTCTGTTGTGCATGAATAAAATCTAAGTGAAACACTGCTAAACCATGTTAACTTATGAGAAGGGTCAGCTGGGCATGGTGGCTCATGCCTGTAATCCCAGCATTTTGGGAGGCCGAGGCGGGTGGATCACCTGAGGTCAGGAGTTTGAGACCAGCCAGGTCAACGTGGTGAAACCCCGTCTGTATTAAAAATACAAAAATTAGCTGGGCATGGTGGTAGGCACCTGTAATCACAGCTACTTGGGAGGCTGAGGTAGAAGAATTGCTTGAACCTGGGAGGCAGAGGTTTCAGTAAGCCGAGATCACGTCATTGCACTCTAGCCTGGGCAACAGAGAGAGACTCCATCTCAAAAAACAAAAACTTATGAGAAAAGTCATCTAACTCATATGGCAAATGGTCTCATATCATGTGCCAAATCTGACAGATTGATACTGGCTTAATGGAAGTGTGTTTTGAGGATAAATCTTAGGTCTTACCTGAATTCTTGGGTTTGAAAGAGTAGCATGAGTAATTAGTGATTTCTGAAATATGATAGGGAAGAATTGAGTAGTAGCAAGTATTTTTCCTCCAATGATTTCTTATTTTTTTCTTCATAAAGTTTATGCTTATATTTTTATAGATGGAATATATTATATATTTTGTATATATTATATATGCTATGTTTATATGTAAGAAATAGGTATAAAATCTATAGAGATTTATTGTATGTTAAAGGAAAACCAAACCTAAATCACTTTTGGAGGAAGAATTTCTTTTTTTTTTTTTTTTTAAGGCTGTTTTGAAAGCTTGTATACAGGCATCCCTGGGAGATATTACAGACCACCACAGTAAAGCAATATTGGTTCCAGACCACCACAGTAAAGCAATAAAGCAAGTCACATGCATTTTGGGGGTTCCCAGTGCATATAACAGTTACATTTATGCTATACTGTACTCTATTAAGTGTGCAGTAGCATTATACATTTAAAAACTACGTACATACCTTAATTTAAAATATATTTAAAAATGCTAACAATCGGCTGGGCGCCGTGGCTCATGCCTGTAATCCCAGCACTCTGGGAGGCTGAGGCGGACAAATCATGAGGTCAGGTATACGAGACCAGCCTGACCAACACGGTGAAACCTCACCTCTACTAAAAACACAAAAAGTAGCGCGCGTGGTGGTGCACACCTGTAATCCCAGCTACTCAGGAGGCTGAGGCAGGAGAATCGCTTGAACCCAGGAGGTGGAGTTTGCAGTGAGCCGAGATCTCACCACTGCACTCCAGCCTGGGCGACAGAGCAAGAGTCCATCTCAAATAAATAAATAATTGCTAACAATCATCTTAGCCTTCAGCAAGTTGTGATCTTTTTTCTGGTGGAGGGTCTTGCTTCCATGTTGACAGCTGCTCGCTGACAGGTCAGGGTGGTGGTTGCTGAATATTGGGGTAGCTGTGGCAGTTTCTGAAAATAAGTCAAAAATGAAGTGTGCTGAATCAATTGATTCTTCTTTCACTAAATATTTCTATATAGCATGAGATGCTATTTGGTAGTATTTTACCCACAGTAGAACTTCTTTCAAAATTTGAATCAGTCCTCTCAAACCCTGCTGCTGCTTTATCAACTAAATTTGACTTTCTAAATCTTTTCTTGTCATTTCAACAATGTTCACAGCATCTTTAACAGGAATAGACTCCATCTCAAGAAATGACTTCCTTTGGTCATTCATAAGAAGCAACTCCTCATCCGTTCAAATTTCATCATGAGCGATTTGCTGCGATTTGGTCACATCCTCAGGCTCCACTTCTCATTCTAGTTTTCTTGCTGTTTCCACCATTTCTTCAGTTCTTTCCTCTGCGGAAGACTTGAGCCCCTGCAAGTCATCTGTGAGGTTTGGAACTCACTTCTTCCAAACTTCTGTTAATGTTGATATTTTGAACCCTTCTCATGAGTCAAGAATGTTCTTAATGGCATCTAGAATGATGAATCCTTTTAGATAGTTTTCAATTGATTTTGCTTGGATCCACCAGAGGAATCAATCACTACCTACAGCAGCTATAGCCTTACCAAATATATTTCTTAAATAGTAAGACTTCAAAGTTAAAATGACCCCTTGATCTAAATAGATGTTGTATTAGCAGGCATGAAAGCAAAATGAATCTCCTTGTATTAAAAACATCTCCATCAGAGCTTTTGGGTGACCAGGTTCATGGTCAATGTGCTGTAATATTTTGAAAAGAATCTTTTTTTCTGAGTAGTAGGTCTCAGCAGTGGGCCTAAAACACTCAATAAACCATGCTGTAAGCAGATGTGCTGTCATCCAGGCTTTGTTCTTCCATTTATAGATCACAGGCATAGTAGATTTAGCATAATTCTTATAGGCTGCAGGATTTTTGAAATGATCAATCAGCACTCACTTCAACTGAAAGTCACCAGCTGCATTAGCCCCTACAAAGAAATTCAGCCTGTCCTTTGAAGTTTTGAAGCAGGCATTGACTTCTCTCTAGCTATGAAACTCCTAGATGGCATCTGCTTCTTGTTTTATCTACACTGAAAATCTGTTGTAGTGTAGCCACCTTCGTCGATTATCTTATCTAGATCTTCTGGATAACTTGCCGCAGCTTCTCCATCAGCACTTGGTACTTCACCTTGCACTTTTATGCTATGGAGACAGATTCTTTCTTTAAATTTCATGAACTGACCTCTATTGGCTTCAAACTTTTCTTCTATAGCTTCCTCGCCTCTCTTAGTCTTCATACAATTGAAGAGAACTAGGGCCTTGCTCTGGATGAGGCATTGGCTTAAGAGAATGTTGTGGCTAGTATGATCTAATCGGACCACTAAAAATTTTTCCATCAGCAATAATGTTGTTTTTGCTTTCTTGTCCTTCATTTCTTCACTGAAGTAGCACTTTAAATTTCCCTTAATAACTTTTCCTTTGCATTAACAACTTGTCTGTCTCACGCAAGAGAACTAGCTTTCATTCTCTCTCCACTTTGGACATGCCTAAGTCACTAAGCTTAATTATTTCTGACTTTTGATTTGTAACTCTTTTTTCACCTGAGCACTTAGAGGCCTGTACAGTTTTTAATTGTAGGGTTATTAACTGTATGGTTATTAATTGGCCTAATTTCAACATTGTAGGGTTATTAATTGGCCTAATTTCGACACTGTTGTGTCTCAGGGAATATGGAGGCTGAGAAGAGGAAAAGAGATGATAAACAGCCTTTTGGTGGAGAAGTGAGAACACGAACAGTATTTATTGATTGTTTGCCATCTTATGTGGGCATAGTTTGTGGTGCCCCAGAACAATTTTAATAAATACATCAAAGATCACTGATCACAGATCACCATAACAGACAAGATAATAATGGGAAAGTTTGAAATACGGCGAGAATTACCAAAGTGATATGACACAAAGTGAGCACATGATGTTGTAAAAATGGTGCCAATAGTCATTCGACTACAGTTGCTGCCGATCTTCAATATGTAAAAAATAAAAAATAAAAATAAAACAAAAATTAATACCTACAAAGCACAGTAAAGCAAAGCACAATAAAAGCAGGTATACCTGCAATGAGATGTTATAGCTGCAACACAGAAGATGGTTAGAAGGCATACCTAATGGATCTCATACAATTCATGGAAGTGTTTTTATTAATAAAGCAATGCATTTAGGAATATTTGTTGCTCTAACCATCAAATGAAATATTTACCCTTTTGAACTTTCCTATTCCCATCCATTTCCCGGCATGAAACTTCAGAGGCATTCTTAACTCTAGATTGTCTCTCACATGGCTTTCTACTTTCTATCCACATTATCATAATAGTTTCTCAATTGATATGTCTGTCTCCAGCCTCCATTCCCTGCAGTTCATTCCCCAGCTGCAAGGGTGACCTGTCAGGTTTTCAGGGTATTGTATAAATGTCTCCATTGCTTTGACAGTGTTGTTTAATATGTCTTTACTGATTTTCTTTCTAATTTATTTATCAGTTAGTAAGAAGGCTGTAATCTCTAGTTACAACTTTTGATTGTCTATTTTTTCTTTCTGTTTTGTCAGTTGGGGAATTTTGTCTTTCTTTCATTTTATTTTTCTTAGTTTTTGCATTATGTATTTTGAAGTTCATAATACTTTTTTGGAGGCAAACATAGGTAGAATTGTTATATCTTCTTTTTGAATTGATCCCTTTATCATTATGTATTGATTCTCCTTTTTTCCTGGTACTATATCTTGTTCTGAGGTCTGATTTGCCTATTTTTAATACAGCTACTTCAGCTTTATTATGGCTAGTGTTTACATAATATACCCTTTTATCTTTTACTTTAAACCTAATTGTGTATTTATATTTTAAGTGAATTTCTTTTCCTAGAGAGCATAAAGTTGAGTCTTATTTTTCTTATCCTGCCAAACAATCTCTGGCTTTTAATTGGGGACATTTAGAACATTTACATTTAATGTAGTAATGATAGAGTTGAGTTTAATTTATGATCTTTATATTTGTCTACTATTTGTTTCATCTATTGTTTTCCTTCTTTTTTTCTTTCCCTTTTTTCTTATTAATTAGTATTTTTTAATATAATCGGCCCTTCATATCTGTGGGTTCTGCATGTGTGGATTCAGTCAACTGCAGATCAAAAAACTTCAACAAAAAAGGGATGTTCGTACCTATAGAATGTGTATAGACTTATTTTCTTGTCATTCTTCTCCAAACAATACAGCATAACAACTGTTTACATAGTATTTATATTATATTACATGATATTTACATTATTACAGAGATAATTTAAAGTATATATGAGGATGTGTGTAGGTTATATGCAAATACTGCATCATTTTATATAAGGGACTTTAGCATCCATGGATTTTGGTATCTGTGGGATACCATAGATGAACTAGTCTCCCATGGATATTGAGGGACAACTATATTTCATCTTATTTCCACCATTGGCTTATATGTTATACATCTTTGTTTAATATTTTCAGTGGTCACTCTAGTGGTGTGCCCCTTTAATTTATCACAGTCTATCTTCAAATAGTATTACACAACTTCACAGGTGATGTCAGAACTCTACAACAGTATACTGTCATTCTCCCTTCTGTTGTTTGTGCTATTGTTGTCATATATTTTACATCTACATATGTTATAACCAAAACAATATATTGCTCCTACTTGCATTTAAGTCATTATCTTAAAAAAATTTTAAATGACAAAATTGTATTTTATATTCATCCTCATAATTAGCATTTCCAGTTTATTTCACTCATTTGCATAGATCCAGCTTTTCATTAGGTATCATTTTTATTCTACCTGAATAACTTCCTTAACATTTCTCATTATGTAGATTTACAGGTGGAAAATTTATTTAGCCATTGCTTTCTTGAAATTATTTATTTCCCATTTTTGAGAGATATTCTTACAGAATGTAGAATTCTCAGTTAACAGGTTTTTTTTTTTTCTTTCTGCAGTTAAGATATTGTTCTTTTGTCTTGTGTTTGCATAGTTTCTGACAAGGAATCTATATTAGTTTTCCGTTAGTGCTGTAACAAATTACCACAAACTTCATAGCTTAAAACAATACAAATAATAAATTTGTAATTTCTTCAGGTCAGAAACTCAAAATGGACAAAAATTATATTAGCAGTGCTGTGTTCCTTCTGGAGTATCTAGGGGATACATTTCTTTGCCTTTTTTTAGACTCTAGAAGCTGCCCACATTCCTTGGTTTATGGCTTCTAGCTATCTTCCAAGCTAGCCATGGCTGGTTGAGGTTTTCTTGTGATGTATCACTCTGTCGCTAACTCTCCTACCTTTCTCTTTCACTTACAAGGACCCAGTGATTGCACTGGGACAACGAGGTATAATACAAGATGAGCTTCTCATCTTAAGGTCAGCTGATTAGCAACCTTAATTCCATATGCAATTTAATTCCCCCTTAATTTATTATATTATATTCCCATGTAATATATTTACAGCTGGGGATTAATAAATTAATTCCCCCATAATTTATTATATTATATTCCCATGTAATATAACATATTCATAGCTGGGGATTGGGACATGGACATTTTTAGAGGGCCATTATTCTGCCTACCACAAAGTCTTGGGAATTTATATTTTTGTTACTTGTTATAAAATGTGTTTCCCCACTCCTTCCCCATCTAAACTCTGGTTGTTTTTAAATTTTACCTCTATTGCTAGTTTATAGGATTTTTATTATGATGTGCATTGGTATATGTGTATATGTGTTTTTCTCTTTCTTTTTTGTTTCTTTTTTTTATTTTTTATTATTATTATTTTTTTAGACAGGGTTTCACTCTTGTTGCCCAGGCTAGAGTACAATGGCATGATCTTGGCTCACTGCAACCTCCGCCTCCCAAGAACAAACGATTCTCCTGCCTCAGCCTCCCAAGTAGCTGGGATTACAGGTGCCCACCACCACACCCAGCTAATTTTTGTATTTTTAGTAGAGATGGGGTTTCACCATGTTGGCCAGGCTGGTCTTGAACTCCTGACCTCAGGTGATCCACCCACCTCGGCCTCCCAAAGTACTGGGATTACAGGTGGGAGCCACCATGTCTGGCTGTGTTTTTCTCTTTCTTGAGGTTAATTGGGCTTTTGGATTTAGGTGTTTATTGTGTGTATCAAATTGGGAAAACTTTTGAACCTTATCCCCTCAGTGATTTTTCTGTCTCCATCTCTCGGTTTGTTCTGGGACTAAAATGATACATTATGCTAGAATGTTTACTAATGTCACAGTTCATCAATATTCTGCTCTCCTTTCAATCTTTTCCTTTATGTGCTTCAGTTGGAATAGATCCAAATTTTACATCTTAAAGTTTATTGTTATTTTCCTCTGCAGTGTCTAATCTTACGTGATTTCCATTCAGTGGACTTTTTATTTCGGATACTGTATTTTTAACTTTACAAGTTCCACTGAGTTCTTTTGTTTATATCATCCATTTTCTTCTCATTATGTTCATGTTTTTCTTTAATATTTGAGGGTGGTTACTAAAAAACTACATTCGTATTAATATCCTTATTTGCTGGTTCATCTCCTGTCATTCCTGGGTCTGTGTCTATTGACTTAAAGAATGTGATTGCGCTTTCCTGATACTTGGTTGGTCTAGTAATTTTCTTATTAAGTGCTAGACACTATGCACATTATGTTGTTGGGTGTGTAGGTTTTGTGCATTTCTTTAGAATATTTGGCTTTCTTTAGGCAGATAATTTAAACAACATGTGACTCAGTTGATCCCTTTAAGGCTTGTTTTTAAGCTTTGCTTAGGCTAGTCTGGGGCATCCTTCATGCCAGTGATAATTTGGTTTTACTAATAATTTACCTACCCCACTGAGGTCTCCAAGACCATCCTGTCTCTTGTGATCAGTGACAGCTCTCCACTCTGGCTCTTTAGACATCGAACATCTTTTGGCCCTGTAAAAGCTTTGGGAATTGTTAAGCTTATATTTTCTTGGTGGTTCTTTGCTTGTACTTGTATAATTTTACTGTATACAGGTGCCACTTAATACCCAGCTAAAAGTCAGAAAGCTTAATGCAGATTTTTGATCCTTCTTTTCTGCAAAGTATTTCCTCTCTGGAACTCTGTTCCTCATCTTTTAGTCATGTCAGCCTACCTAGACTTCTATCTGTATTTCCTCAACTCAGCAAAACTGGTTGGCTTATTTGGGGTCTCCTTTCTAGCATCTATGATTTTAAAATTGCTTTTAGACAGAAATCTAGGAAGATTGAAGGGCACTACACAGATCAGACTCCTATACTGCTTATTTTTCAGTATATGAAAACAGTTTCATATATTAAATACATTTTTCTAGTTAATTACAGCAGGAGGGTAAGTTTGGTTCTTTTCAATTAAGTCCGGAATTAAGTTCAATTAAGTGGAAGTTCCACTTCAATTAAGTTGATAAAGGATCAACAAAACAAAACGTTGGTTTCTTGAAATGATAAACAAAATAGATAGACCACTAGCTAGATTAACCAAGGAAAAAAAGTGGAAATATTTTTCCACTGGTTTAAATTTAACACAATTCATCAGGTCAACAGGATTTCACTATCCAAAATATATATGCACCCAATAGCAGAGCACCCAGATTCATTTAAAAAAACATATTGGTGGACCTAAGACAAGAGATAGACAGCAATAGAGTAATTTGGGGACACTTCAATACACCATTGGCAACATTAGTCAGATTATAAAGGCAGAAAATCAACAAAGGAACTCTGGGCTTAAACTGGACTCTAGACCAAATGGAAAAACATTTATAGAATATTCTACTTCACATCAACAGAACATATATTTTTTCTCATCTGTCCATGAAACATTTTCCAAAATTGACCATGTGCTTAGCCAAAAAGCAAGTTTCAATGAATTTTTTAAATGAAAATAATATTAAGTGTCTTCTCAGACCACAGTAAAATAAAATTGAAAATCAATACCAAGAGGAACTCTCAAAAAACTACACAAGCATGTGGAAATTCAACAACTTGCTCCTACAAAACCTTTGGGTAAACAACAAAATTAAGGTAGAAATCAAAAGGTTTTTTGAAATGAATGAAACTAGATACAACTGCTACTGGGTACATATATATTTTGGATAATTAAATCCTGTTGAACTGATAAATTGTGTTAAATTTAAACTAGTGGGAAAATATTTCCACTTTTTTCCCTTGGTCAATACCAAAACCTCTGGGATGCAGCAAAACAGTGCTAAGAGGAACGTTTATAGCATTAAATGCCTACATAAAAAACACAGAATGATCTCAAATTAACAATGTAACATTGCATCTCAAGGAGCTAGAAAAGCATGAACAAACCAAACTCAAAACTAGTTAAAAAAAAAAAAAAGAAATGGCAAAGATCAGAGCAGAACTAAATGAGATTGAGACCAAAAAAAATGATAAAGGATCAACAAAACAAAAAGTTACCTCTTTGAAACGATAAACAAAATAGACCACTAGCTAGATTAACCAAGGAAAAAAAGATTAAAATAAGCACAATCAGAAATGATAAAGGTAACAATACAAACTGATACCAAAGAAATACAAAAATCATCAGAGACTATTATGAGCATCTCTATGCCCACAAACTAGAAAACTTAGTAACAAGTAATGAAATTGAGTCAGTAATTTTTTTAAAAAAATCTCTAAACAAAAATAAGCCCAGAACCAGACAGATGAACAGCCAAATTTTACCAGATATACAAAGAGTTGGAACCAAGCATATTAAAACTATTCAAAAAAATCAAGGAGGAGGTGTTCCTTTGTAACTCATTCATGAAAACAGTATGACCCTGGTACCAAAATCAGGCTAGAACACAACAACAGAAACAACAGAAAACAAAACACACAGGGGTATATCTCTGATGAGCATAGATGCAGAAATTCTCAAGAAAATACTAGCAAACCAAATCCAACAGCACATCAAAAAGATAATATTATACATCACCATCAAGTGGGTTCTATTTTAGGAATGCAAGGATGGTTTAACATACACATGTCAATAAATAATAATTTACCACACAAAGAGATTTAAAAAACCATATGATCATCCTTTTTCTTTTTTTTAGACAGATTCTCGCTCTGTCACCCAGGCTGGAGTGCAGTGGCGAGGTCTTGGCTCACTGCAGCCCCTGCCTCACAGGTTCAAGCGGTTCTCCTGCCTCAGCCTTCTGAGTAGCTGGGATTACAGAAACACGCCACCATGCCCAACTAATTTTTGTATTTTTAGTAGATACGGGACTTCTCCATGTTTTCCAGGCTGGTCTTGAACTCCTGACCTCAGGTGATCTGCCTGCCTGGGTCTCCCAAAGTGTTGGGATTACTGGCATGAGCCACCCTGCCTGGCCAATCATCTTAACAGCTGCAGAAAAGGCATTCAGTAAAATCCAACATTGCTTCATGATAAAAACCCTCAACAAAGTAGACATTGAAGGAACATATCTCAAAATAGGAACCATTTACAACAGACTCCCAGGCAACATTATATGGAATGGGGAAAAGATTAAAGCATTTTCCCTGAGAACTGGAACAAGACAAGGATGTCTACTCTCACCACTCCTAATCAACATAGTGCTGGAAGTTGTAGCCAAAGCAATCAAGCAAGAAAAAGAAATTAAAGACATTCAAATTGGAAAAGAAGAAGTCAGATTATCTCTCCTCACTGATGACATGATCTTTTAAACCTAGAAAACCCTAAAGATCCCTCCAAAAGATAACTAGACCTAATAAATGACTTCAGCAAAGTTTCAGGTTACAAAATAAATGTATAAAAATAAATATCATTTCTGTACACGATTAACATTCAAACTGAGACCAAATCAAGAACTTAGTCCCATTTACAATGGCCATATACACAGAAGTAAAACACCTAGGAATATTTAACTAAGGAAGTAAAAGATCTCTGCAAGGAGAACTACAAAACACTGATGAAAGAAATTGTGTAGATGGCACAAATAAATGAAAAAACATTCTGACTCATGGATCAGAAGAATCAACATCATTAAAATACCGGCTGGGCCTGTAATCCCAGCACTTTGGGAGGTCAAGGAGGGCGGATCACCTGAGGTCAGGAGTTCGAGACCAGCCTGGCCAACATGGTGAAACCCCACCTCTACTAAAAATACAAAAATTAGCCAGGTGTGGTGGTGGCTGCCTGTAATCTAAGCTACTCAGGAGGCCGAGGCAGGAGAATTCCTTGAACCCAGGAGGCGGGGGTTGCAGTGAACCGAGATCGTGCCACTGCACTCCAGCCTGGGTGACAGAGTGAGACTCCCTCTCAAAAAGAAAAAAAAAATGACCATACTGTTCAAAGCAATCTACAAAATTGCAGAAGTGCAATTCCTATCAAATTACCGACATCATTTTTCACAGAAAAAACAATCCTAAAATTCATATGGAGCCAAAACTGAGCCTGAATAACCAAGTAATCTTAAATAAAAAGAAAAAAAAACAGGCATCACGTTTTGTAGCTTCAAATTGTACCACAAGACTATAGTAACCCAAACTGCATGGTACTGGTACAAAATTAGGCACAATAGATCAGTAGAACAGAATAGAGCACCAAGAAACAAAGCCACATATGTACAACCAACCAATCTTAAACAAAGCTGACAGAAATAAACAATGAGTAAAGGACACTGTATTCAATAAATGGTGCTAGGACAATTGGATAGCCATATGTAAAACAATGGAACTGGACCCCAGTCTCTCACCATATACAAAATTTTACTCAAAATGGGCTAAAGACTTAAATGTAATACCTGAAACTGTAAAAATGCTAGAAGAAAACCTAGGAAAAATTCTTCTGGACATTGGCCTAGGCAAAGAATTTATGACAAAGACCTCAAAAGCAAATGCAACAGAATAAAAAATAGATAAATGGGACTTAGTTAAATGAAAACGCTTCTGCACAGCAGAAGAGATAATTGACAGAGTAAACAGACAACCTATAGAATGGGATAAAATACTTGCAAATTATGCTCCTGAAAAAGAATTAGTATCAAGAATCCACAAGGAACTCAAACAACTCAACAAGAAGAAGACAATCCCATTAAAAAGTTGACATTTCTTAAAGAAGACATATAAGTAGTCAACAAATTTATGAGAAACTGCTGAACATTATTAGTCATCAGTGAAATGCAAATTAAAATCACAATGGGATACCATCTTTCAACAGTTAGAATGGCTATTATTAGCAAGCCAAAAACAGCAGAGGTAGACATGGATGTGCAGAAAAGGGAATAGTTATATACTGTTGGTAGGTATATTAGTACAACCTCTACAAAAAACAGTTTGGGGATTCCTCAAAGAACTAAAAGGAGAACTACCATTCGACCCAGCAATCAACCCCATTGCTTGGTATCTACCCAAAAGAGAAGAAATCATTGTGTAGGAAAGACACCTGCATTCATATGTTTATTACAGCACTATTCTCAGTGGCAAAGTCATGGAATCAACCTGTATCCATCAACAGCATCACAACAGATGACTGGAGAAAGAAAAAAAATATATATATATATATTCTTTATATATGGAATACTACTATACTATGTGTACTACCATATATATATGGAATACCACTCAGTCATAAAAAGAATAAAATTGTGTCCTTTACAGCAACATGGATGCAGCTGAAGGCTATTATCCTAAGCGTATTAACACAGAAAGTGAAAATTAAATGCTACATGTTCTCACTTTCAAGTGGGAGCTAAATAATGGCTACACATGGACATAAAGATGGAAACAATAGACCTGGAGTCTCCAAAGGTGGGAAGAGGAAGAGGAGGGAAGGGTCAAAAAACTACCTATTGAGTACCATGTTTATTATTTGGGTGATGGATTCAATAGAAGCCCAAACCTCAGCATTATGTAATATATCTATGTAACAAACCTGCATATGTACCCCAGAATCTAAAATAATAATATTTAAAAGAAAGAAATATATTCTAGGCAAAAATAAATAAAATGAACACAGTTCAGCCTCTTTTGCTTTGCCTGTTGTATGATCACACCATGAGAGGCTGGTGCTGCCTCTGCACAGCATTTTTGCCAGCTCTTTTCCATTGTATTTCCAGTTTTGTCTCCTTTATCTTTCTTCTTGACATCTCGAACTATGGTGCACCTTTGCTTCTGTGTCTTTTTTCCCACTGTTCATTGTTTACCCTCTCCGGTCTCTGCTCCTTTTTCTACTTGACTAAGACTTGTTCATCATTTTAGTCCCAACTCACCCTGCATTGCCTTTGTCTTTTCCTTATTGACTTCTCTCTCGATAGGCAAATGGATGTTTCACTTAACTGTACTCATAACTAATTTGCCAGTGTTAAGGCTTTGGAGTCAGACTCCATGAGTTGGAATCCTGTCTCATTTATTTAGTGTTTCTGGAATCTAAATCAAGTTTTTTAATTGCTAATTTCCTGATTTTAAGTGGGAATAATTATAAACCCTTTCTTACAGGGTTTTATTATCTTGGGTTATTATATGTAAAGAATTAGAATAGTAATATCAACATCATTCCATATTAACATTCCCATTTAAACATCTCTAAAACATCTACATGTATGATTATTTGTCTCTCTCTCCATCTACCATTTTCTTAAAGGAAAAAACTATGTAATATTTACCTGCATATGAGTCCCCAACAAAGCTAGACATTCAAATGTTGACTGAAATATTGTAATGTTAAATTATGTGGCTTTTGTCTGTAGGATTGGAATGACCTAGGCTTTAAGCATTGTTTTGGCAAGTAAGATTAGGAAGAAAAGAAACACATCAGAAGTTTTTTTGGCTTTCTTATTTTTGTTTCCAGCAGTTTTGTGTTTTGATAGTTTGAATCCCTAAATTGAAATTAATTGGTATTGCTTTCAATATGGAAAGCTCAGCCCTAATGCGTGTATTTACTTATTTTTAGTTAAAGGCTCAACGAGGTTTTCGTTTTATCCGAAGGATTTTTATTTAAGTTCAGCCTGGTATTAGTAAGTATGTATGCTTCATTTATATTCTTCAATAGGGTAGTTGTCTCTTAGCAAAGAAAAAGGAAAGGAATTGGCCCAAGGCATGTCTTTATTTCTATGCTACATTAGTGAAAGTCCAGGAGAGATTTGCTTAGCCTGTAGGTAGAGTAATATATAGATTTGGGTATGATTTGATATAAAAATTTAGTTTGAGTTAGCAATTTTCTAGTTGGAAAATTGTTCCAGCTCCTTTAGACTGTACTGTCTACTGTACTGTCTAGCTCGTGGATGCGTATTATGTTTTCCCATGTCTTCTCTACTTTGGGTTTAAAACGAAGATTTGGAGAGGAATTTCACTGAGGACCACTTCAATACGTACATCAGGCTGGGTGATAATAGCACACGGCTTTCCTGTATTTTATGTTTGGCTGGAAGCCACATATAGAATTTTTAAAGTATGTGTCATTTTCTATTATGTATATGTTTCTTGAGTTTTTAATAACTAGCCCCCATATGTTTATATACACCTATATTTCTAGAGGCACAATGATATATATATATATTTATGTACAAAGTTGAAATAACCCTCAGTATTAAATAAAAGGTAGCTGTAAATTATTGCAAAAGTCAGGTTGACATTTTATGCCTCAAATGCTCTCTTTCTTCCTCCTAGGAGTATTCCACAACATTGTTTTATTGTCCTAAGAACATGCACAGCATAGAGAAGGAAGATGCATTGGGACTTAGTTATTTCTCTTGCAGTCTAAGGAAAGATATTCTGAAAGTCATGCACTGTGACATGTATGAACTACTTAAATTTACCTGACTTTTAGTTCATTGTCAAAAGGAAGAGTGTGTCAAAAATCTCAAAACTAAGGCAATATATCTTCAGTTAAATGACAACTTTAAATGAGTCAGAAGAAAGGCACTGCATCTGTCTAAAAAATATCCCATACTGGCTGCACTTAAAAGCAACTGGAATGCACATTCATAGCTAATTATAAACAAAAACTAGTTAACACTTTAAATAAAAAGGAAAAATAGCAAAAAGATTTAGAGCCTAGACAAACAGATGAAAGGGTTCTGAGTTGCCTTCCATCTGATATTACTCAAATGCAACTCTGTCTCCAATTACCTGGGAATATGTGGTATTCCCTCATGAAAGCTCAAGATCAGAAAGGGCGTCCATTTCGTGTCTTTGCTTACTCATAGCCATTTGGAACAAGTTCAGCAGAAGTATTTCACATTGCGAAAGAGTCTGGAGCCAGACAGCGACTACAGACACTAATCACTGGGTCAAAATAGTAACTTAGTAGGACAGCAACCACCAGAAAGTATTTGTGGAGGTAGAAATGTGGAGTCGGATATATTAGTGCCGTTGGAGAAGATATCACCAAATGCAAAAATGCTGTAACAGAACCATTAAATCACTATTTGTAATCAGTTTCATGTTCAGTGGCACAGGACTGTCTGAGCCGATGGTCTCTTTGGTAGGATCAGACCTAAAAGGTAATCTTATGCCCTTAACTCTAGAATAAATAGATGGAAAGAGAATTAACCAAATAAATAAAGGCTGCCTCCTAAAACATTTGGTGTTTCTTTTATTGTATGGTTCCAAGTACAGGCTTTCTTTGCCTCAAACTGCAGATCTCTAGCATTTGAGATTTGCGGGGTGGGCAAAAGGGGAAACATCATTGCTAAAATAATAGGTGCAGCAATTGATCAACTTCCCTAAGGAGCTGCAATTTTAGGTCTATTCAAATAAGAGTTACTGGTATTCTCTGAATATTGTCATTATAAACCACTTTTCATTGTTGCCTTTTTTCTTAAACTACATCATCCTGTTCCTTTCCTCCAGTGTCAGTAGAGAATTGATTGCTTTATTTTACTATCACTCTACTCCGCTACTACTTCTATTTTCAGTAGACTCTATCTCGGAACATTTTCCTTGGCAGTGGATCTCAAACTCCAAGCTATGAATAATTACCCACAGTATGTTTGGAATAAAAAGGTGAGCTTTAGAAGAGGATTAAGCATTTTTTAAAAATCATTCTTTTAGATTTCATCAGGTTCTCACTAAATTCACATGAAGTATTATCTTATCCCTTGTAGCAATTTTATTTACTGCTATGTCTTTAAAAAGTGGGGAGGGGACTAAGGAGCTATTAGCCTCTGTGTTTATCCTGTAGGCATTGGACTTCTCCATTCTATGCCAATTAAAACAACTTCACACACAAATTAAGTAGAAATAAAATCTATTAAATATATTTTAAAGCAATCCCGTGGTTTTATAAAGGTCTTGGGCCATAATTTCTCTGTTGCTGTAAAGAGGCAACCTTATTTTAGCAAAGTATATTTTTAATTCAACATCTGGATTCTGTATAGAAAAATTAACAAGGAAATATGTGAGATTCCTACAATGGAAGACTTTTCACATATTGCAAGCAATGCATCTCCATCCTACTTTGTAGTAATACTGATGTGGGCATAAAGGAAAGACAGGAAGAGGATGACTAGACACCAGGTGATTTATACATTATCTTATTAAATCATGAAACAGCTCGGCCAGGCACGGTGGCTCATGCCTGTAATCCCAGCACTTTGGGAGGCCGAGGCGGGTGGATCACGAGGTCAGGAGATCGAGACCATCCTGGCTAACACGGTGAAACCCCGTTTCTACTAAAAATACAAAAAATTAAGCCAGGCGTGGTGGCGGGTGCCTGTAGTCCCAGCTACTCAGGAGGCTGAGGCAGGAGAATGGCGTGAACCCAGGAGGTGGAGCTTGCAGTGAGCTGAGAGCGGGTCACTGCACTCCAGCCTGGGCGACAGAGCAAGACTCCCATCTCAAAAAAAAAAAAAAAAAAAAGACTAGGAAAAAAACGTGGTGCTCAAAGCAAAAAAAAAAAAAAAAAAAAAAAAAAATCATGAAACAACTCAATGAAAAAGAAATTATTACCCTGCTTTAATGATGAATAAAAGTTATTACATCAAAGAAGCGATTATTCAAAGTTATTAAAATCTACTGCAATTCAGTGGCTGCATTACAATTCAAACCCAGGTTTGCCTGACTAAAGCTCATGTTCTAGCTCCCAACACTGGACCTTGTGGGATCTGAAGATGAGAGGCAGAGTGTGAGAAAGACCTTGCAAAGTATAAGCATTTACAAAAAAGTGTAGCTTTTATGGTCCGAGGTGGAGGAGAGGTGATTGCTCTCAGAGATCTGGGATGCCCTTGGCCAGTGATGTCCATTAGGCGTCATAAAAATGTTTCTGTCAAAAGTGGTCTTTGGGAGGCTGAGGCAGGTGGATCACCTCAGGTCAGGAGTTCGAGACCAGCCTGACCAATATGATGAAACCCCATCTCTACTAAAACTACAAAAATTAGCTGGGTGTTGTGGCATGCGCCTGTAATCCCAACTACTCGGGAGGCTGAGACAGGAGAATCACTTGAACCTGGGAGGCGGAGGTTGCAGTGAGCCGAGATCTCGCCATTGGACTCTATCCTGGGCAACAAGAGCAAAACTCCATCTCAAAAAAAAAAAAAAAGGGGGGGGGTCAAGCATTGCTGGGCGACAGTAGCACAGAAAGCCCGGTGATTTGATGACAATGTGAAGATCACCAGCCAAGCCTTGTGCCTATTTGTCTATTTTGAATGCTGCTTTTGCTACCCTATAATTATCTTGATTATGAATGACTGGAAATCTGCCATCCTGATCATTTGAATCATGTCAAAAAGAAATGAGGTGTCTACTCTAAAGAGTTGGGAAGTTAATCTTGTAGTAGAAAATTGAAATCTTTTTTATCTCTTGTATGCAATTCACTCGGCATACTTTATTTAAATGAAGTTTATTAATAGTTGATTATCTGTACATAAGAAACTGCTACTAAAAGTTACACTGGCTTTCAAAACTCTGCAAAACCATTTATGCCATTAGAGATTATCTGAAAATATTTTTTGTACTTCTAGAAAACAATACATGTATAAATATATATAAATAACAATAAGTTGTTGCAAATAGAAAATCACCTTATTTTCTGTGTTACCTTCAGCAAAGTCATGTTTGAAAGTCTGTGCTTATAACAGTGGTGGTACACAGCCTATAAAAGTTGTTTCTCAAACTGAAAAGCATAGCTGGTCTGATTGGGGTCACTGCATGTAATTAGCTTGCTTGCTCCATAAATGAATGGCAGATTTGTTTTATTCCAAATGATATCTTAATTTTCACCGATTAAATTACATTTTATTTTGGTTTGGAAGGTTCACCCTCACTATGTAAAGCAACCACATCCTGCAGTTGTCACTAAGTTAACACCATAAGTATGTTTAAAAGAATTGTTGGCCAAGCATGGTGGCTTATGCCTGTAATCTCAACACTTTGAGAGACCGAGACGGAAGGATTGCTTGAGCCTCGGAGTCTGAGACCACCCTGGGCAACATAGCGAGACCTCCATCTCTACAAAAAATAGATTGAAAAATTTAGCCAGGTGTGTTGGCATACCCTGTAATCCCAGCTACTTGGAAGGCTGAAGCAGGAGGATGACAGGAGGAATTGCAGCTTGCAGTGAGCCATCGTTGTACCACTGCACTGCAGCCTGGGTGACAAAGTGAGACCCTGTCTCAAAAAAATAAAATTGTGACAATAAAATAGTGATGATGCATTTATGCAAACACCATCTTGGAAAAAGGGTATCTCTGTTTTTCCATAAAATGGAATTGCACCCCAATTTTTCAGAAAGTTTTTCCTGAGATTGGTATACAAAGGAAATCTGTTCAGTTCTTTGAATTGTTGACTCTACATCAGGAATTGAAATGTGTACTCTAATGTTCTTGCTTTGATCTCTCATTTGACTGTTTATCAAAGCTGATTACAGTTTGAATACCCAAATCCCGTTAGCTTCAAAACTATGTAAAATAATGTATAATAGAGCATTTTAAGAGATTTTTTTCTTATTCCAGTTTGTCTTTATGATTGTGATATGGCTATTAGGTTTGGTAAGAAGCTTTGGTTTTATATTTTGTTCCCTCGATAAGAATCAGTCTTCTGCCAAATTGGATTAAAGTTTTTGTTTCGGCCAAACTTGCTCACGCAACTAAGCAACAGCTGTTTCGGTGAACATCAAAAGAAGTCATTATGAACAAATGAAACTTACTTTATTCCACTAAACACAATTTAGGAGCTTATGCTTTTTGAAAAGCTGTATGTGTTTTCTTTATTGAATATAACATTGGAATATAATTATTAGTTGACTTACTCAGTTAAACATTATGTATGATATCACTTTAAGAATTTTGAGATCTTCAGGTCCAGAATTTTCCAAGGATATTTATCTATTAAGTTTCTACTGATTATTGGAGGCACCGTGCTAAGTATTTTGTACATGTTAACAGATGAATCTGCCTAAAGTCACAGAGCTAATTTAAGTGGCAAAATCAGGAATCGAATACAGATCTCTGGCATCTTGTTCTACTGTGGTGTGTTTTTAAGTTTCATAAATCATTTACTTTAATCTTCTAAAATAGTCTAGAAATTCCTTCTTCTAATCTGCCTGAATCTCTGTACTTTGCAAAGAAAAAGCAAAGATATGTGAGGGCAACTGAAAAAATAACCTTCCTGAAAATAGTATGCATTGTAGTGCTTTTGTTATTTTGCCTAAACAAACTTTATGTGTTCCTAGAATTGTTTCTGGAAGCAAATCATCTTTTATGCTAGGCAACTCAGAGCAGATTTTGTATAAAACAATATGTTCGTGCTGGAGCCTTTTCAAAGTAAAATCATAGGATATTCATTCTTTTTTTAATATAGTTAACAATTGACCTGTAAGTTTATACAAACAATCTGACATACAAAAAGGGAAAGAAAAGAAAGAAAAAAGTATCTGCTGCCACCTGAAATGATCCCTGTGAAATCCTGAAAATCCTGGCAAAGAGTGGCAACGTGACACTGGGTTATGACTTTGCAGATACCATGCAAACCTTTGAAAGAACACTGTCTTGAGGCTGTAAAACATGAACTAGCCTAAGCCGTACTATTGTGTTGTAAGTAGTGATAAAGACACTGACAGTTCTCGAGTGACCATGGGTTTTATTTCATGCACAGTTCCCATTTTTTTTATAATCAATTTGCCCTGCTCCACTGTGTCTCCTAAGTTCTCCAAATGGCCCCACATGTGACCCAAAGAGGAATGATAATAAAAAGACAACTTCTTCTTTAACTAGTCCCAGGATTTATTTTTTACATTTTACTTTTTTTTTGTCCTGTTACTCAGTGATTTTCAAACTGTGGGTCACAAACCATTAGTGAGTCATGAAATCAGTTTAGCAGGTCCCAACTAATGTTTTAAAATCTGATAGATAGGCTAAAAATATCAGAGAGCATTGCATGAAATAAGAGTATCTTCAAAACTTTCAGGTCAAACATATATTAATATGTATGGAGGTATGGGGAAATGGGTGAAGGTGAAGTAGTACATAATTCCTAGAATGCTTACTTGTCAAAAAAAAAAAATGAAGTCACAGCCATACTTTAAGTGATGGAGTTCTTATGTTATTTTAAGCAGTTCGAAATACTGATTTAATCTCCTTAAATTTGACCTTTGGGTTTGTAGCAGATCACAATTCTTTATTTTTAAATAAAAATGATAGCAAGTAAATGGGTATATTATCACATTCCCCCTTTTCAGAACAGACCATGATCTGTTCACCTGTGGTCTGATATGAACTATTGAAATGAGTTCAAAATTCTTAACATAACTGAGAAATGTCACATACCATTTCTGTTTAGGGTTTTTTTTTTTGACGTGTTTACACCTTTGCTTGAGGGAATTATTTCCACTAATTGTTGGCATTTAAACACTGACACATCTGATGTAAATATGAAACTAGTGTTTTCTTTTCTCAGGTTAATGTGACTGAGTTAAAGAAATTTTTTCAGAATCTGAAATTTTTGATTAGATAATATATCTTGTCTGTGTCAATATAATAAGATCAACTTAATTAAAATTAAGTAGAATCATTTAAATCATGTATCTATGACATCCATAGATTTGAAATAAGCTTCTGGTTGTAGTACAATAGAATTAATAATTAAAATAAGTTACGTTATGTAGGGCAGATGTTGCTTGAAATAGTGTAACAACTTATCATTTATCTCATGTACTTTTATTTTCTTGCACTTTCAGCCAAAATTGACCAAGAGGCAGAGGAAAATTCACTGACAGAGACTCATAAATGGTGAGAAATTACTTTATTTCCTCCCAGAATAGCGTTATAACATGCTAAGTGTATTTCATCTTAAGGAACCAATTTTTAGTTCAATTTTAATTTTCAAGCATAAAACAAAAATAAATCTAATAAAATGGTGTGCTCTAAATCTACAATGAATTTCTGAATTTTATTTTTGTTATTCTGGGTAACATATAATTCTGTTAAATACCAAATTATTGTGAATAGCTTAGCATCTTCTCTTTTACCTGGGATTTAGAACTATGGAAATACACAAAAGAAGGAAGATAGCAAGAACCTGTTTCAGAGTTTGGGTTATCAAAAAAAAACTATGTGATTTCCATATTCAAAAGTGAAGTCTAGGTAGGAAGCGATGAGCTTCCCTTGGATGCACCTTCATTTCCAGAATGGAGACTTGCAATTATGGGTAAACATAGAAAATATCTCAGAAATCTCCCTGCTTTTCTGCCTCCATTTTCTCTTCTTCTCGCATCTCTCTATATACGTCAGGGTTCTGTAGAAAAAAAGAACAAACTGGCGATACAGATATAAACACACACACACAGGCATACCTCATTTTATTGCACTTCTCTTTGCTGTGCTTTGCAGATAAGTGTATTTTTTTTTTTTCACAAATTGAAGGTTTGTGGCAACTCTGCTTCTAGCAAGTCTATCGGTGCCATGTTTCCAACAGCATGTGCACACCTCATGTCTCTGTGTTACATTTTGGTAATTCCTGTAATATTTCAAACATTTTATTTTTATTATCTATCACCACAGGTGATCTGTGATCAGTGATCTTTTATGTTACTATTGTAATTGTTCTGGGACACCATGACCTGACCCATATAAGATGGCAAACGTAATAGAAAAATATTGTATGTTCTAACTGTTCCACCAACCATCTGTTCCCTTGCGTCTCCCCTCTCCTCAGGCCTCCCCGTATTCCCTGAGACACAACAATATTGAAATTAGGCCAATTAATTACCCAACAGTGGCCTCTAAGTATTCAAGTGAAAGAAAGAGTCACACATCTCTCACTTTAAAACAAAAGCTAGAAATGGTTAACCTTAATGAGGAAGGTATATCCAAAGCCAAGATATGCCCAAAGCTAGACGTCTAGTGCCAAACAGTTAGCCAAGTTATGAATGCAAAGAAAAAGTTCTTGAAGGAAATTAAAAGTCTATTTCAATGAACACATGAATGATAAGAAAGCAAAACAGCATTCTTGCTGCTATGGGGAAAGTTTAAGTGGTCTTAATAGAAGATCAAACCAGCCACAATAGTCTGTTACACAATAGTCTGTTGCCAGGGGTTTGGTTTAGCACAGCTACTTGCCACACAGAAAGCCAATCACTGAGATGAGTATTGCCAGGGAAGAAGGCTTTAATTGGGTGCTGCAGCCGAGGCGATGGGAGCTCAGTCTCAAATCCATCTCCCTGACTAACTAAAATTAGGGATTTATATAGCAGGGAAGAAATGTAACCATGTGTGGGAGAACAGGAATTAGGGAGGGGTAAGGAAGAGGAGGTACTCAGCAGCAAGCAGCTGGTGGGTTAGGCAGTCACAATGGGTGAAGGGTCTGGCCTCTCATTGTCCAGATGCAATGATCTGGTGAGTTTCAGTTCCTTGATACTGTCTTGGAAGCCTGATGGTTGGTTTCTGGAGAAAGGAACTCAAAAAAGACAAATGTAACTTTCTCAAGTTTCAAGACCAGAAGGGTCAGTTTCTATGTTTATTCAAATTAAATCATAAACATCAGTTCTATGGGACCATTGAGCCTGTTTCAATTCCCTTAAACCAAAGCCTAATCCAGAGCAGGGCCCTAACTCTATTCAATTCTGTGAAGGCTGAAATAGGTGAGGAAACTGGAGAGGAAAAGTTTGAGGCCAGTAGAAGTGGGGTCATGAAGTTTAAGGTAAGAAACCTCTGTAACAAAAGAGTGCAAGGTGAAGCAACAAGTGCTGATGGACAAGCTACAAGCTATCCAGAAGATCTAAGATAATTCATGGAAGTAGCTAAACAACATATTTCCAATGTAGATGAAACATCTTCTGTTGGAAGAAGATGCCATCTAGGATTTTCATAGCTAGAGAGAAGTCAATGCCTGACTTTAAAGCTTCAGAGAACAGGGTCGGGCGTGGTGGCTCAAGCCTGTAATCCTAGCACTTTCGGAGCCCAAGACGGGTGAATCACCTGAGGTCAGGACCTTGAGCCCAGCCTGGCCAACACGGTGAAACCCCGTCTCTACTAAAAATACAAAAATTAGCCAGGCATGGTGGTGCATGCCTGTAATGCCAGCTACTCAGAAGGCTGAGGCAGGAGAATCGCTTGAACCCAGGAGGCAGAGGTTGCAGCGAGCTGAGATCGCGCCACTGCACTCCAGCCTGGGTGACAGAGTGAGACTCATTCTCAAAAATAAGTAAATAAATAAATTTTTTAAAAAGTGAAGCTTCAGAAAACAGGATGACTGTCTTGTTAGGGGATAATGCAGCTGGTAACTTTCAGTTGAAGCCAGTGCACATTCACCATTCTGAAAATGCTAGGGCCCATAGGAATTATGCCAAATCTCCTCTGCCTGTGCTGTATAAATGGAACAACAAAGCCTGCACATCTGTTTACAGCATAGCTTACTGAATATTTTAAACCCATTGCTGAGACCCATTGCTCAGGAAAAAAAGAAAAGATTGCCTTCAAAATATCACATCTCATGGACCATGCACTTGGTCACCCAGGAGCTCTGCTGGAGATGTACAAAGAGAATCACGTTTCGATGCCTGCTAACACAGCATTCATTTTGTAGCTCATGGATCAAGGAGTAATTTTGACTTTCAAGTCTTATTAGTTAAGAAATACATTTGGTAAGGCTATAGCTGCCATAGGTAGTGATTCCTTTAAGAGATCTGGGTGAAGTAAATTGAAACCTTCTGGAAAGGATTCACCATTCTAGATGCCATCAATAACATTCATAATTCCTGGAAGCAGGTCAAAATATCAGCGTTAACAGGAGTTTGGAAGAAGTTAATTGTAACCCTCACAGATGGTTTTGAGGATTCCAAGACATCAGTGGAGAAAGTAACTGCAAATGTGGTAGAAATAGAAAGAGAATTAGAGGTAGAGTCTGAAGATGTGACTGAGTTGCTCCAATCTCATAATAAAATTTGAACAGATGAGGAGTTGCTTCTTATGAATGAGCAAAGAAAGTAGTTTCTTGAGGTGGAATCTACTCGTGGTTAAGATGCTATGAACGTTGTTGAAATCACAACAAAGAATTTAGAATACTACATCAACTTAGTTGACAAAGCAGCAGCAGGGTTTGAGAGGATTTACTCCAATTTTGAAAGAAGCTCTACTGTGAGTAAAGTGCTACCAAATGGCATCATATACTACAGAGAAATCTTTTGTGAAAGACTGAATTGATGTGGCAGATTTCATTGTTGTCTTATTAGCCACCCCAGCCTTCAGCAACCACCATTCCAATCAATCAGTAGTCATCAACATCAAAAAGATATTAAGTCACTGAAGACTCAGATAATTGTTAACACTTTTTAGTAATAAAGTATTTGCTAATAAAGTATGCATTTTGTTTTTCAGATGTAATTCTGTTGCATACTTAATAGACTATAGTATAATGTAAACATAACTTTTATATGCACTAGGAAACCAGAAAATTCGTGTAACTCTATTACAATATTCATTCACTTTATTGCAGTGGTCTGGAACCAAACCCACAATATCTCCGAGGTTTTCGTGTGTGTGTGTGTGTGTGTGTGTGTGTGTGTGTGTGTGTGTAAAGAAAGATAGAGAATTGACTCATGCGATTGTAAAATTGGCAAGTCTAAAATTAGCAGGGCAAGCTGACAATTCTGGTAGGAGTTGATGTTGCAATCTTTTTTTTTTTTCTCTTTATAAATTTTAACTTTTAGATTAAGGGGTACACGTGCAGGTTTGTTACATGGGTACATTGCACGACACTGAGGCTTAGAATCTAAATGGTTCTGTCATCCAGGTATTGAGCGTAGTACTCAGTGGGTGGTTTTTGAGCCCGTGATCCCCCTGCATTGTTGAGTAGCCCCAGTGTCTGCTGTTCCCATGCTTATGTCTATGTGTGGTCAGTGTTTAGCTCCCACTTATAAGTGAGAATAGGCAGTATTTGGTTTTCCGTTCTTGCGTTAATTCTCTTAGGATAATGGTCTCCAGCTCCATCTGCGTTCCTGCAAAGGACATGATTTCATTCATTTTATAGTTGCATAGTATTCCATGATGTATGTGTACCACATTTTCTTTATGCAGTCCACTGCTGATGGGCACCTGGGTTGATTCCATGTCTTTGCTATTGTGAATAGTGCTGTGATGAACATACGAGTGTGTGTGTTTTTGATAGAACGCATTATTTTCCTTTGGGTGTATATCCAGTAGTGGGATTGCTGAGTCAAATGGTATTATAGTTCTGTTTTCAGTTCTTTGAGAAATCTCCAAACTGCTTTCCACAGTGGCTGAACAACTTTGCATTCCCACCAACAGTGTACAAACATTCCCTTTCCTGCACAGCCTCGCCAACATCTGTTACGTTTTGACTTTAATAATTGCCATTCTGACTGGTGTGAGATAGTATCCCATGGTGATTTTGATTTGTATTTCTCTGATGATTAGCGATGTTGAGCATTTTTCCATGTTTGTTGGCCACTTACATGTCTTCTTTTGAGAAGTGTCTATTTATGTCCTCTGCCTATTTTTTAATTGGATTGTTTTTGCTTGTTGATTTGTTTAAGTTCCTTGTAGTATTGCAATCTTGAGTCTGAAGCAGTCTAGAGACAGAATTCTTTCATATTCAGGAAGCTGAGTCTTAAGGTCTTCAACTGATTGGAGGAAACCCAGCATGTTTTAAAGGGAAATCTACTTTTTTCAATGCCTAGTAATTTAAGTGTTAACCACACCTAGGCCAGGCACGGTGGCTCATGCCTGTAATCCCAGCACTTTGGGAGGCCGAGACAGGCAGATTACTTGAGGTCAGGAGTTTGAGACCAGCCTGGTCAACCAGCCTGGCCAACATGGCAAAACCCTGTCTCTACTAAAAATACAAAAAATTAGCCAGGCGTGGTGGTAGGGGCCTGTAATCCCAGCTATTCAGAAGGCTGAGGCATGAGAATCGCTTGAACCTGGGAGGCGGAGGTTGCAGTGAGCCAAGATCGCACTGCTGCACTCCAGCCCAGGCAACATAGACTCCTTCTCAAAAAAAAAAAAAAAAAAAAAAAAAGTTAACCACACCTAAAAACTGCTTTCACAATACCATCTAGACTGGTGTTTGACCCCAAAATGGGCACTATGACCTGGCCAAGTTGACACATAAAATTAACTATCACAATTTCTAAAGAGAAACCTTATTAGCCTTGAGGAAAAAATGTATTAAAGAAGTTCTCTGCCATTAATTCAGTAGGCAAGATCTTTTTTTTTTTTTTTGAGACATAATCTTGCTCTGTCACCCAGACTGGAGGACAGTGGCACCATCTCAGCTCACTGCAACCTCCATCTGCCAGATTCAGACAATTCTCATTCCTCAGCCTCCCCAGTAGCTAGAATTACAAGCGTGCACTGCCATACCCAGCTAACTTTTTTTTTCTTGTATTTTTAGTATAGATGGGGTTTTGCCATGTTGGCCAGGCTGGTCTCAAACTCTTGGCCTCAAGTGGTCTGCCCGCCTTGGCCTCCCAAAGAGCTGGGATTACAGGGATGAGCCACCGTGCCTGGCCGGCGACATCTTTTATATTCACTGAACAGATATCACATATTTAGTAGTTCTTGGCTTGATATAAAATATTGTCTTAGCAAACTAGTAAACAGAATTCTCCAGTTTCTGTGAAAAGCAAAAGCTGAGGTCAAAGGCCTGAAATTATAAAATCAGAAATTTCAGTGAGTTGCATGAAAAAATTACTAGCAAATGACAAAATCGTTAGTAAAAGAGCCATCTTTTATAATTAAACAATGAACCCCAAAATTCAAAAGTAAAAATAAGAATAATGAATCATATGAAACATTTGACGTTTCTCCGAAGAAATAAGTCTGTGTGCCATTTTCTCAGCAGTCCTATGTAACCGGGGCAACAATCAGTAGTAATTCTGTGCAGGAAAGCAGTGTAACTCTGATCCTCTGGCCTTTTGAGTCTGAATCTTATCTTGCCTCTTACACATGATAGCTCTATGACCTTAGACCAATCCCTTCACCCCAGGAAAATAGTATCTACTTTGTAGGTGAGAATTAAATGATCTCTGGCAGATGCTTAGTCCCAAGTGATCAATAGATGTTAATTGCTATGTTATTTTCACATTATTTTTATAATCAGAAATTATAAAAAGTTTAGTGGTAGAATTAGAAACCAGAGTCAGATTTCAGACTCGGGCAATGTATTTGTTTGTTGTCATGTTTCTCGCTGTCTCCATGGATTGCAGCCCTGGGCAGTCTCGGATGGTTATGGAGCATAGATTTTGGAATCAGCTCTGTATTTTGGTACCTGCACCAAACTGCTGGCACCATGGCTCCGAGGATTTATCTCAGGTTTTGAATCCATGTCCTTATCTGTGAGAAAAAGAAAAACAATGTCCACATTATAAATGTGGTGATCAGTTCATTACTTAACTGATTAAGTAGGTTAAATGAGTAAAATATGTATGTCGAGTATCAACTTCATAAGAGCTCTTCACAATTTCCTTTTCTTCCATTTACCATAATACCTGAGCTTGGGAGACTGACTTTTAGCATGAACTATCTTCATAGCAACCATTAAACTGGAAAAAACAATATAAAACAGTTATTTAACATGTCTAGAAATTGTTCTATGGACTTGCAGCAAATGAGGAATCATTTGTCCAAGAAAATCTAAATCATGGTAAGAACAGTGAGAGTCTAAGGCATTCGAATCACTCCCTGTTGTGTCCTATTACGTCTTATGGGAGCCGCTGCAGGAGCTCTAATCCAGACACTTATGGTAATGAAGATAGGAGCTTCCACTCTCCCAAGCTCCTACGCTGAGGTTATGGCTTCTCACTGAGTCAGCAGGCTGCCAGAATTACTCATTCCACCACCTCCAGCTTATTGCAGACGTTCTGTTCCAGACTAACAATGCAGATAAGAGGGGGCTCCCTTTCTCAACACTTCCTTACTTAAAGGGCAGATGCTCCAGCTCAGGTGTAGCCAACCGAGAATGCTGGGCCCCAGTGCTTCCACTCTAGCTGATTTTAGGGCAGAGATTCTACACCAGGAGGGAGAATACATGAAGACTAGGGGCCCCCCACCTCAGCTCCTTCTTACACAGCAGGAGTGTTGCTTTGGAAGAAGTGGACCACTGTCCTAATCCTAGCTTTAACCATTGTGCAGGTGCACAGAAGTCCTGCCCAGAGCTCTACAGATCTGCTTGAGAAGGCAGATTTTGTTTGGAACAGAACATGAAGAATTTCATACCTAAGAGCTTCGTCTGAAAGAATAGAGGTCTAGATGGAGAGCAGTTGAGAGGGCGTTCGCAGCTCCATGATACAGCAGCAACAAGCAAAATGGCTAAGCAATCAGAAGTTTAACAGAGAGATCAAGGGAAGAAGATAGCCAAGAAGGATCCTTTTGGGATCATAATCAATCCCAGAGGTTGGAAGGCTGTGCATAAGCTTACTAGGCTGCACCCACTAATGAGCATCAGATCAGGAGGTCAGGCTGACGTGGAAACAATCCCCAAGCTGTGTAGGGATCCATGAATATATGCTGTAAGCCTCACTGGCAGCAGGGAACTCAGCGCAACCGCTGGCCACCACTGGCAGAACAATAAGATATGTAACCCAGGGGCAACTCATGGGAAGCCAGGCTAAAAAATAAAATCACCTATATTCCTTCATATAGTCTGTCTAATAGCCACAAAATAAGCACACCAGCATCAGCCGAGTTAACTGCTTCTAGGACCTTGTATGTAAGCAGGCAGAAACATTTCTGCCTGGTGTACTGTGGGCTTCCACCTGCCCGGCTGGCTGGTAGGCTGCCTCCTCTCAGGCCTTTGAGGGAATGGTGGACTTTGACCCAGATTCTAGAGTCCCAGGTCTCCTTCCCAGCTTTGAGGCCTTGAATATTTTATCTGCCACCCCAATCTCAACAGTGGCTCACCATATGTACTCTCTCCCCATGTAAATTTCTTTAGAACCCAAAGCCTCAGTTTTTTATGGAGTTCTTCTTTTGCTTGAATTGGCCAAGACTTTCTTTACTTCCCCCCGACCACCACACACACACACAATTGAAACAAAATACATACACAGGCCGGGGGCGGTGGCTCACACCTTTAATCTCAGCACTTTTGGAGGCCGAGGCAGGCAGATCACCTGAGGTCAGGAGTTCAACAACAGCCTGGCCAACATGGTGAAATCCCATCTCTACTAATAATATAAAAAAATTAGCCAGGTATGGTGGCATGCACCTGTAATCCCAGCTACTCCGGAGGCTGAGGCAGAAGAATCGCTTGAACCCGGGGGTCAGAGGTTTCAGTGAGCTGAGATGGAGCCACTGCACTCCAGCATGGATGACAGAGTGACACCCCATCTAAAAAAAAAAAAAAAAACATAGACATGCACATACACATATACAGATCCTCACTGTATTTTATCTCTAAATATTTCAGTTGTCTTGGCAAAGCCTAGAGGGAGAGGAGAGCTAGGAGTATGAATTTAGGCATACATTTTTCCTGTCTTCCATTTCTCCTTTTATTTTTATTATAGATTATTCTTATCATGTTCCATGTATCATATTATCACAAACCAGATGAAATTCACTTTGGAGGCAAGATTTGGAGGTACTCAAAAAGTTGTTCTTCATTTTCCAGCCTTCCATTTAGCCCTTTGACGTTGAGACAGAAAATACACGGGGAAGTTTCATTTCTATGAATATATCAAAAGGTTCCTAATCCATGGAATTGGCTGGTGAGATTCTGTTTTTATCTCAGTGATGCTGTAACAGCCAGACACAATTTAGTTTTACTTTACACCCTGTGGCAGGAGATCCACTGACAAATTGGTGACAAATTTTTGTGCTTGATTTTTAAAAATGGTTGAGAGTTATTTACAGATAATTGTGATAGCTGAGTTGGGCTATCAGATGCCTTAAGGATCAAAGAAGGATCATATAATAACTGAACAGCCTTTTCTGTACCAAAAGAGAAGTTTCCCAGAGCTTTTGAGGCAATTTGGCATTCCATATGCTCACCAAGGTTATCATGAAAGAAGGCAGGGCTGCGTGGTGGACAGGACGCTGACATTTCCTCTTAGCCTAGCTCTGCCACTCCAGAATTACAAGTGAGTAAACCACAGAAAGTTCCCCAAGTTCCCGGGCCTCCACTTCGTCATATGTAAAAAGGAATATAACCTCACCCTTTCTTTCATCCTCCAGGGCTGTAGGAATATGGAGTACCTTGTTCTTTGCAAAGCTTCTTCAAGTGTGGCTCCTAAGAGGCCTTTCTTGAAGGCTTATTCATGTGAAAACATTTTGTAAACCTCACACACACATTATCAGCTTGCTTTGAAAGGAATTATACTCATTTGTCTTTACATTCTAGTACATTTTTTAAAACATCTTGACTCTTAGCCCATTTAAAATGGATAAGCTGAACTTTTATCAAGAAAATAATTAGAATTGTCTTCTATAAATAGTATTAAAAACAAACAATGGTGAGTATATTTTTTAAATCAAGCCAGATCATTTTTCATATTCCATTTGTTAGCATAATAGTTTTAAATGTGCTAATTCTGTTTATTCATGCATTTTTGCTATTAATCTAGAAAGTGGAACTTTGAGCTCCTTTTTCACATGAGCAAAACTGTATAGCTTTCGAATAAATGGTTTAACTGAACTCTGCAGTTCTCCTGGAAAGTAAGGCGGCTGGGCAGATGAGTCTTGAACCATACCCAAAATGCAAATGCAAAGCAGATGAATATATTCTCATCTTCAGATGATTTCACTGGGCAAGCCAAGCCATCATATTGTATTACAAGATGGATTTCGGCAGAATATTGTTAAGGTTGGCTTCATCCCCATTGTGTGTGTTTATGTCAGCTTCTGCTTCTATTTTATTTTTAATTAGCATACACGGCTTTCTTCAATTATGGAAAAGTATCACCAGACCAAATATGATTGTTTTTATTTCCTACAGAGTCACTTAATGTCTATGTCAGCTCATAGGCAGAGAATGTAGAAATTTTGAATTTGTCTAATAAATGTCCATTCCTTTATATTTAAATTTAAAAAATAATGAGACTGGGAATGATAAAATCTGCTTTATTACTTAATGAACTAAGGCTAACTTGAAATTTTTCTTCAGACTTTTTTCTTCTATTTCTTTAAATTCTACAGGTAAAAACTATATTTTCAGGTGAAATTGACTTTTGACGTAGAAAAAGAAAAGGTTTTAGAAACACAGTTTGTTCCAGCTATCAGTTGCATTGATTTCACTAATTTAATTCTGGCATCAATAAAGCTAGTAGAAATGACTGAATGTAAAGTTTGAATTCTATTGCAACTATTCAGTTAGATAGCTTACCCTTGTTAGTCAGTTGAAGGTGACATTCTGGACAAAGGAAATCAGGGTGAGAAAGGTGTACACCCTCTGTGAGTAATGACAAACAAAGTAATGTGTATGAACTACTCCTATCATTTTAAAGCAATTGTTTTCTAGGAAGTTTGTGACTTTTCCTACAGATTAAAACATTTAGTTTAAGATGTTTATATTTTTCTACAAGACATACATGCTATTGAAATTTTTATATAAAACTTTAAAAATGCCTAGGTGCAGTGGCTCACACTTGTGATCCTAGCACTTTGGGAAGCTGAGGCAGGCAGGTCACCTGAGGTCAGGAATTCAAGACCAGCCTGAACAACATGGCAAAACCTCATCTCTACTAAAAATACAAAAATTAGCCTGATGTGGTGACAGGCGCCTGTAATCCCAGCTACTCGAGAGGTTGAGGCAAGAGAATTGCTTGAACCCAGGGAGCAGAGGTTGCAGTAAGCCAAGATCATGCCACATGTTTCAAAATAGAAGTCTTTTTTTTTCCTCCAGGAGCTAAAGATATCTAGAAAGATTATATATAACTAATCTTCTGATGAGACCGTAAGATGATAGTGAATTTGTTTAATAAGGAAGCAAATAGCACAATTAAACTTAGAGAATTAATAAGTAATGTGCTTTATTTGGACATTATTATGTGATAAAGATTGGACTGTATAGTTTAAAAATGTACTCAATGGATCTCATAGGATCTTTTAAAAAATATTCTTAAAGAGAATACACTACATTCCCTCTCCTACTTAAATAATAGCAAGGCAATTGGAAACAACCAGTAATAAAAGGCAAGAAATTGTAATGGAAGAACGCATATTTGTAGAAGAACTTTAAATCACACATTTTAAAAAATAAATACTATTTCTGCATGTAATATTGCTTAAGTGGTATTTTAGCAAAGCCAAGATTGTATAACAAATGAGTTGAAATGGAAAATTAATCTTTCATGCAAAATAAAGACAAAAAAGGGGAAAGAAAGAAAGCGGAATGTGGGTTCCACTAGTTTCATACAGTATGTAACTATTCATTTGTCACAGGAGAGAAAATATTTAATCGGTTCTGAACTGATGCACACATACTTTATCATGTTTAGTGACTTTTAGAGTGTCAGTTTGTAAAATGTTTATCCAAGGAATGGACTTCTGGCACATGGATAAAATGAAAAGTGAAATGTTTAGTTCATAATAGGCATATTTTCCAGAATCTTTCTGAGTAACTATCCGGAGATGAATAGAAAGACTACAGGTCTGTGTTTATCTGGCTTAGGCTGGCCGACCAGGCAGGCTCCAGCCTGGTATTAAAACTGAAGTGACATGGAATGTCTTTGCAAAAGCCCCAAACAATGACATCATTCCCTTAATAATATTGATAATGTAGAACAAAGTTAGAGTTTGTTATTTCCCAATTTGGATTTCTTAGTTAACTACTTCTAATCCTGGCAGAAGATTTACTGTCTGGAGGCCCAGCAGAGCAAGGCTTCCCAGGTGGAAAGCTGTTGTTTCATGCCTTTTATTTTCGGGCCGTGTGGTAAGTTTTAGATACAGCAACTTTTCTTTGTACAAATGGATTTTCTTCTGTGGCTACATTATCCAACTTTTATAAAATCCATTGACTTTCAACAGTAGGGGAGCCCATGACACCCTTTGCAGATTTTCTGGCCTTGGAAAGTTATACAAAATCTGAGGTGGAGATCGCTCCTGAAGTTTGTTTGTTAGCGTTAGCGCTTTTCAAGTAGAAGGATTTCAGGATTTTCTGATTATGAGAATTTTAATGTTTTTTTCCAGTCTTGGTTGATAATTATAAGAGAAACATCAAAGAATTCCTGCCCTTTGGAAAAGTTATGTTGTAAAAATGGAAGCTTTCCTTTGTATAAACTTGAGATCCTTCCCACCCCAATATTTAAAAATATTTGTTGGCCTAGAACAGACTAAACTGTCTCCAGAAGCTATGTTCTCCAAGTTAACAGAGGTTAGAACTCTTAAACTTTTGTGCCCTAAAACCTAAAGGAAGAGTAATGAAATCACTGTGTGTTTGCCGGGGATTCTAATCACCGTGCTCTTGAAATGCAAGTAGGGCAAGGGCTGGAGAGGGCGAAGATAATACCAGAAAGGAAGGATATACTATTTTGTCTACAGTTTTGTTTTTTAAAAAAATAGAAAGTAGAAAGGATAAGGGCTAGCAAATGAGGTTATGAAGTGTCTTTAGGCCGGGCGCGGTGCCTCACGCCTGTAATCCCAGCACTTTGGGAGGCCAAGGAAGGTGGATCACCTGAGCTCAGGAGTTCGAGACCAGCCTGGCCAACATGGAGAAACCCTGTCTCTACTAAAAATACAAAATTAGCAGGGCTTGGTGGCACATGCCTGTAATCCCAGCTACTCAGGAGGCTGAGGCAGGAGAAGGGCTTGAACCCGGGAGGCGGATGTTGCGGTAAGCTGAGGTTGCGCCACTGCACTCCAGCCTGGGCGACAAGAGCAAAACTCCGTCTCAAAAAAAAAAAAAAAGAATGTGTTTAACTGTAGTATCATGTTCCAGATCCATTAGGATTGTCCATCTTGAGAAAATACGCTTCAAGCACCGCAGAGATTCCAGAACTCAATAGTTAAATAAATTGAGTCTACAATCATTGTTCAGAGGAAGAAAAAAATTTTTTTCTAAGGAGAATGAAAGCATGAGTTAGTGATTTATATCTACGTTTTATAAGGCAAATCAGAAATCAGCTTTAGAAGATTGTCATTAGAAGGGCTCATTTGCCTACAAGTTACAAAGGATCAATTCAATTACATTACACGCCCAAAGGCATTTCTCAGAGGCCTCCAGAATCCCATGCAAAGGGAAGCAGCCTCAGGAGTGGGGGAAGCGAAGGGAAGCAGCCTCAGGAGTGGGGGAAGCGAAGGGAAGCAGCGTCAGGAGTCGGGGAAGCGAAGGGAATCAGCCTCAGGAGTGGGGGGAGCGAAGGGAATCAGCCTCGGGAGTGGGGGAAGCGAAGGGAATCAGCCTCGGGAGTGGGGGGAGCGAAGGGAATCAGCCTCGGGAGTGGGGGGAGCGAAGGGAAGCAGCCTCGGGAGTCGGGGGAGCGAAGGGAAGCAGCCTCGGGAGTGGGGGAAGCGAAGGGAAGCAGCCTCGGGAGTCGGGGGAGCGAAGGGAAGCAGCCTCGGGAGTGGGGGGAGCGAAGGGAAGCAGCCTCGGGAGTGGGGGGAGCGAAGGGAAGCAGCCTCGGGAGTGGGGGGAGCGAAGGGAAGCAGCCTCGGGAGTGGGGGAATGGGTCAGATGCAAGCACAGAATCTCCCCCATGGCGGCGTCTAGTGCCTCTGTTAAGATCGCGCTCTGAGAAACAACGCTGGCATTCAAATCCAGGTATAGCCCCTTTTATTTTCTTTTTCAGTTTTCTGACTTTGGGGAAGTTATTGAAACTTCTGTATCTCCATTTTCTTGTTTCTAAAATGAGGGCAATGGAACGGTGCGTGGCTAGAGTTAGCATATTATAATTACTTGATATCATTGTTACCTGATGTTTATTGTAGTGACCTGCCACTCATGGCTCTAGTTTGAATTTTCTTCATGGGTGTTAATGCAAATTCTCAAAAGGGTGAATGTGGTTGGTTCCTAGATAGGTAATATAAGCTCATGAAGGATACCAGCTCCCCCAGCCCGGTCTATAGTTGAGACAAGTTTTCTAAAATCAATGTAAGGAAGGAAAATGGAACATTAACTTTTTGGGGAGATGGGAAGGGCTAGTGAAACAATCAAGCTTACAGATATAACCATCCTGAAAAGAGAAAATTTGGAGTATATTGAGTGAACTTGTTTAAATTGAAGTTTTTTCATTGTGAGAGCGTTACCTCGAGAAACGTTCGTCGTCTCATTTTTTGTTGTCTACTCCGGCATGCATCACATGTGGGTAAACTTTAAAAGTAGCATGAAGAAATGTTTTGGCTGATTTCCCTACCATTTGTCTTGAAAGATGATGTAGGTATGGGTTTGGAATTGTAGAAATTACAGCTACAATACTTTTTTTTTTTTTTTAAGACCAAGTCTCGCTCTGTAGCCCAGGCTGGAGTTCAGTGGTGCGATCTCGGCTTACCGCAACCTCCGCTGCCCGGGTTCAAGAGATTCTCCTGCCTCAGCCTCCAGAGTAGCTGCGATTACAGGCGCGCGCCACTGCACCAGGCTAATTTTTTGTATTTTTAGTAGAGACAGGGTTTCACCATGTTGGCCAGGCTGTTCTCGAACTCCCAACGTCAGGTAATCTGCCCGCCTCGGCCCCCCAGAGTGCTAGGATTACAGGCGTGAGCCACCGTGCCCGGCCACAGCTACACTTTTCTTGCAAAGTTGTAATCGGGGTTGGAGAAGGGAAATGACTGATTCCAGCACCGTTGAAGTCCTGCATCTGCAGAGAGTGTCAAGGAGGGAGATAGCAAGATCTATAGGAGATTAATTAATTCTTCCTTCATTTGTTGTGAGAATTCAATGTGATCACATGATATTTTACTTAATACCATAACTAACCATGCAGTAAGCATATAATAAATGCAGATTTGTTCCCCTAAAGAGTGTGCATTCTTCTACCTTTCAAACAGCAATTTATTTCAAAGGTCCAAGGTTTTCCACAGTTCCTCTCCTGCCTGCTCCTCCTCCAAATGTTAGCCCATTTGGGTGAGACCAAGGTCACACTCCCATTCCTGGTCACAAAGTCTCTTAAGGAGAAATGTTAGCATATTTGCAATGAAAATATGTTTTAATCCCTCTAGTAATACTGTGGCATGGAAAGTTGCATCTATACTGATTTTTGACAGAGAAAGGGTATTACTGGCACATGAAACCCTAGATGAGCATGAATAAATGTAGATTTCGCATCCTACTTCCAGAAAATTGCCAAACTCTATTGTATATTATTTAACCCACTAAAACAGCTCCCAAAGTTGACTAGGGGTTATTTTTAAATGGTATGAAAATATATTCTTACAAAATAATTTACAAAATCTTTTTTGTTGTTTTTGTTTGTAGTCTTGACATTGTTAGCAATGAATCATGAGTTTTTCGGGGAAAAATTGATGAATTGATCAAAATTATCTGATTTGAGGATATTGCACGTAAGTTAAAGAGAATAGGGATATTTGACATAGTTTTCAAAATTGGTCTAAGAAATATTTGAGCAACTAGGCCAAACATTCTTGATTTATTCTAAGTCTTAAGTAGATTCTTAAGTCTAAGACTCTACCAGAAAGAAAAGGTAGAATGAAAAAGGCAATAAGAACAACAGAGATTAGAAAATAATTTCAATAAACGGGAAAAAAAGAGGAAATTAGAAAGAGGACATAATAAAGACATTGTGATAGCTACTTGTTCACCTTGTTTTATTCTAGGTTTTTGCAGCTGAATATCCAAAGTATCATATCCCATGTTTTTTTTCTGAACTGCAAGTTAGACTTTACCATTTTAAAGTTGATTTTTATTTCAAGCATTCAATGATGGTTGAAAGTATAGTTTAATATTGGTAATATAGGTACTTTGTAGTCATTTATTTAGAGAAATTAAAGTATGGATGCATTAAAATAACCATAAAATTATTTTTTTAATATTCAATCTATGAATCGAGGTGCTGATTGATTCATAGTTTATGAATCAATAAACTATGATTAGTTTACACGAAAAAAACTTAGATTCTTGAGTTTCTCCTGAAGCCTCTCAGATTCTCCAGTGGTGTCTTAGGCAAAACAAAACAAAACAAAACACCAGTGCCTTATAGGTTGACAAGCGTATTTTCAAAATCTATATTCAGGGCTTTCTAATTTCTGTTGTTGTGAGTGTTTTCAAAACTCGTGCAGCTTAGCCTTCCTTTTCCCCTTTCACATCCCATATGCTCCTGGTTAGACATGCATAAATTAACATAACATCCCAAATCTCTCAACTGTATTTGAAATATTTGTTTTGTCCGGTGCCCTATTTAAGTGGCTAAGCCGTGGTCTCAGATATGAGATTGTAGAGTTTCAACTTCCTTTTCTCTTATTTTTTTACTTTTTATTTTTTTGAGACATAGTATCACTTTGCTGCCCAGGCTGGAGTGTGGTGGTGGGATTTCAGCTCCCTGCAACCCTCGCCTCTTGGGTTCAAGCGATTCTCCTGCCTCAGCCACCAAGTAGCTGGGACCGCAGGCGTACACCACCACGCCCAGTTAATTTTTTTGTGTTTTTAGTAGAGATGGGGTTTCACCGTGTTGGCCAAGCTGGTCTCAAACTCCTGACTTCAAAGGATCCTCCCACCTCAGCCTCCCAAAGTGCAGGGATTACAGGTGTGAGCCACTGTGCCTGGTATCAACTTCATTTTAAAAGCTACCTCTATACTTAGGGTGTACGTTTGCATAAGACATTTTGCATTTCTGTATTGTTAAAAGTGCTATTTGTAAATAATACTGTAGAAAATGTGAAATTATTTTTTAATAGATTACAAGATATGAATTCCCAATGTAAGTAAGTGGGGTCAAATGTCTTTTCTGTCCTTTCCAGTAACATATACAGGCACAATTATTCAGCATTGTAATATTTGTGTAGACTCCATAAATTATCCTGTATTGTAGTATTGTAGTATTTTAATAGACTAAATAATGCCCAAACAATAAGGAAAATAGCAAGATGTTAAATAGTGATAAATCTTTATTGTCTTTATTGGTTTACTAAATCTATAGTCAGCAAATATTACATGGAATCAGACAATGGCATTTTAAAAATAACCTATTATGTATTTCAGGGTCAAAATGTACTAGCAGTGTGAGGACATGTATATCTAAGTAATTTTTATATTAAAATGTTTTAAAAATCAGTAGCCATAAATAATTACACACTTTAGTACTCTTTTGACCAAAAAAGCTAGTTTTTAAAGAAAATGTCAAAATTCAACACTTGGTAGCTTACTTAAGGTATAATAAGCTGAACATTTGATGCAAAATAAATTTAGTGAAGTTAATTAAAAGATGTACAGCAAAGTTAGTAAAAGATGAAATATACTGTCTCCCAGATAACAGTACATAAATCTGAAAAAAAAAAAATAGAAGGTTTATAGCTAGTGGATATTTAAAAAACATCTTAAATGTAGAAAAATACAAGTGTTTCTTCTTTTGTAATTTTTAATTCCATCCAAAAATATATATTCAAGTCCCAGATCAGAAGCAAACACTATTGGTAAGCTTTTCTGTTTGAAATTCCTCTCTGAGTGGATCTAACGATCTGAAAAATTGAAAATCAGTGACAGCTGCAAAATTGAGACAATTTGCAATAATTGAAGCAAACTTTTAAAATCCATAGGGGCAAACTCAGCCTTAGGATTATAAGGTTCTGCTAGAAGTAAGATCTGGATTTCTGGATTTCCAGAATCTAGACGAAGATCTAGATTTCTAGATTTTTTTCCTCAGATCATCAACCAAATAAATTCCAAAAGGATTAAGGAAGTAAATGTTAAAATTTCAACTTTAACTAGAAGAAAATATTGAGAAATTTTTTGGGATTTAGAAATTGGGATTTTTGTCAGCATCATAGCCACAGAATATTAACATTTGTTTCTATTTCTGCTACTTATTTCTAAGTGATAAATTGTCTGCTTTTCTGAGCTTATTGTTATCGTCGTGTTTTTACACATGTATATTGCTTCTTCAGTTCATTTCCCTTTTTATTCATTTTTATTTCTCTCAAAGTTGTAAGTGTAGACATAGTTGCAAAAGTCAATTAGTACCACAAGGCTGATAACAAAAAGCAGCAGCCTCCTGCCCTAGCCAACCCTACCCTCTCTTATATTTTTCTCAGCTGTTTTCTCTGATACTTTCTACCATGGTTTTCAGTAACATACTTGTGCTGATGTATCATTATTTATCAATTAAGGCATTTTCTGTTAATTTATGATAATGGTTGATGTAATTTTTATCTTACTCTTTCTTAGTCCCCATCCTACTTCTTCTTGTATTACAATTTTTAGTCAGGAAGGTTGTCTAGAAGATATACAATATAAATTTTCAGACACGCAAGTTCTCAAAACACTTCCCTCACACTTATTTGATAGTTTGTCTAGACATAGACTCCTACTTGAAAATTATTTTCCTTTAAATAATTGAAGGAATTACTTCATTGTCTTTTAGTCTTCAGGGTTGCTTTTAAGAAGTCTAACTACATTCGGCCGGGCGCGGTGTTTCACGCCCATAATCCCAGCACTTTGGGAGGCTGAGACAGGCGGATCACGAGGTTAGGAGTTCGAGACCTGCCTGACCAACAGGGTGAAACCCCATCTCTACTAAAAATACAGAAATGAGCCAGGCATGCTGTCACATGCCTGTAATCCCAGCTACTCAGGAGGCTGAGGCAGGAGAATCGCTTGAACCTGGGAGGCGGAGGTTGTAGTGAGCAGAGATGGTGCCATTGTACTCCAGCCTGGGTGACAGAGTGAGACTCCATCTCAAAAAAAAAAAAAAAGTCTAACTACATTCTTATTGACATTTCCTTGTGTTTGATCTGTTGTTTTTTTTTTTTCTCTGAGAAGCATTTCATGTTCTCTCTGTTGGCGTGAAAACATAGAACTTAGGGATTGCTTGGTGTGTGCCTTTTTGTTTACTCTGCTGGAAAGTTTTTTCTGGTTGGAGTTCCATGTCCTTCTGTTTTAGGGTTGGTCACAAATGATCCTTAGGTTTCTGATGTGGATGATTAACATAGCATTTCTAAAATTGAAATGAGGATAAAATGAGAAGTTTGAGATGGGTAATAAGCCAGCCGTGTAGAAATGCTGAGTATTTGGTTCAGTGTTCAAGTCCGAAGCTCAGGAGTGATGTGGCAGGCGGCTGAACTTTGTACATCCTCAATATAAACAGATAGGAGCAGAAAGAGAGAGTCCACGTGATCACCTTAGGAGATGGTGTCCACAGATGATCAGCGGCCTAAGACCGAAGCCATGAGAAATACCATATTTGAGTTGCTGCTAGTGGAAAAGGATCACATAATTGAAGAGGGATGCCAATTCAAAGTGAAAAGGGGAGAAATAGGAGAGTGTTACATTACAGAGGTCTAGGTAAACAAGGGTAGCAGAAAAGCTCAAGAATAATTACAATGTATGCCTAAAGACAAAATATTAATTTGTGATATTAATGGGAGATCATATGCACCCTTAACAAAAATTGTTTTATTTGAATTTTGACGCACTTTGAGTAATTGGGTCAGGAGCTGTATTGCAACGGACTGAAGAAAATAAGGAAATGGAAACTGAGGATAAGCTACTTTTATTAGATATTTGGAGAGGGAAGGAAGAAGAGAGATTGGATGGAATGTAGAGGGAGACGGGTGGTCCATTTTTTAAAACCACTTTTGGTTGCTACACATGAAGATCCAGATATACTGAAGGCCATAACTGGAGAGAAAATCTGCCTTGTAGGGTAGACAATTATTGTAGTCACAAAACACAAGAAAATGATGATGTAGCTAACTAGCAGCAGTGAGGCAGTGAAGCAGTTGAGTAAAGTGTAAGTGATGCCAGAAACTTTAAAAAAAAAAGTGTGACAGAATTATAGGAATACAGTGGTTGGGAACAGCACTGGAAGACCAGACATAGGGAGGCTCCCTTTCTTGATTCCTGAATTTGGGAGGGTAGGAGATGGGAAATGCAATGCTTCCGGAGAAGATCATTATGGATGATATGAGTGTGTCTGGTGAAAGCCATGCTTTGATTAAGAAACAGTAGGCCTGGTGCGGTGGCTCATGCCTGTAAATCCCAGCGCTTTGGGAGGCCGAGGCGGGTGGATCACGAGGTCAGGAGATCGAGACCATCCTGGCTAACACGGTGAAACCCCGTCTCTACTAAAAAATACAAAAAATTAGCCGGGTGTAGTGGTGGGCGCCTGTAGTCTCAGCTACTCGGGAGAATGAGGTAGGAGAATGGTGTGAACCTGGGAGGTAGAGCTTGCAGTGAGCCGAGATGGTGCCACTGCACTCCAGCCTGGGCGACAAAGCGAGACTCTGTCAAAAAAAAAAAAAAAAAAAAAAAAAAAAAGCAGCAAATAAACATAATAGAGAAGGAAAGTAGGGGTATAAATGTCCTTGACCCCAACCAAATAATCAGGATCCAGAGGGCTTCAGAATGAAGTTGGTAGAGCTAGTCAGTGGGTGGTTTTTATGGAACCCGATCCATGGGGGTGTCATTGCAAGGAGAAGAAGGGGAGTTGGGCTTGGGAAGGAGTTATATACTTATCGGTGAGGAAGGGTGGGTTAAAGGCTCATAGGAGTGACATGAGAACTGAAGAGCATCCTGGGCAGAATTATTTTAGTGGCTAGTGCCAGTAGGTGGACCAACTCATCATGAAATGTTGTAGCTCAGCTTCTGCATCTTGACCTCTGAGATATGTTGGCCTTAATTGGCTTAGGAAAGGCTAATAGAGATCCTGACTTACATTTACACTGAGAGAAGGGCTTGTTTCCTTTGGGTGAGAGAGAATATGAGTACACACAGTTAAAGAAATAGAGGGGCATTGTCAGGCTGGACCAGAGAACATAGAAACTCAGTCAAAGTGCCCCAGTAGCTTACAATGGTGTCTTCTTGGTGACATTGTCTTTTCATGTTTGGACATCATAGGAGATGGGCCCTGTAGATTCGGACTAGAAGCCAAAGAATTTTTCTTTATGTTATAAACTGCATTCGTGCCTTCAAAAATGTTAGGATGCCAAAGAATCTAATTAGCTTGCAAATACTTCTATGGTAGTGCTTGTTCTCTGCCTTAACAACTGCCGTGAGGCTCCTTGCTCACTCTTATAAGAAAGATATTCCACTCAGTGTGGCAATGCTATGCGGTTTTCAACATGCCAGGAATATCTTACAAATATCGTTGGGCTAGTGAAACAGAGATTTATCCAAGCACTGAAGGAACATTTTTAAAATGCCAAATAGTATGTGATGATTATTATTTTCTTTTTTTAGCTTCACAATCTCTGAATTTACCCCAGGGTGAAATTTAGGTTTGTGTGGACTTGGTTGTGGTGAGTGCCTCCTACGTGAGAAAGGGAGTTCTGTCATAGTTCTGATTGTCAATGTCACCGAAGCTAAGGTTGGATCGTCTGTGCCTTTTGTATCTATATCTAAGATGAGGAGGGGCTGCAGGGCTTTGGAGGCCTTAGCCAGCTGGCTCTCCCCATGTTCTGGTGATGAATGGGTAGGGTCATTCTTAGTACCCATTTTGCAGGTGAGGAAATGAAGAGAGAGAACTTCACGTCTGTTAAATGACTTCACCAGTATTGTGGAGTGCGGTAGCACAGAGCCGAGAATGGAATTCAGGCCTTCGTGAAAGCTGAATGCTTTGTGAGTAATAGTCTGCTCTGCAATCCTGGAATTCAATTACGAAATTTTAAAGCCAAAATAATTAATAAAATATTGGCATTTGTAGGGATGTTTTGCTGCTATTCAGTTCTGCCAAATAATAATTTGTCCCTTTTTTCTTATCGTGTTTCTGCCCTGCCTACCATCTAATAACCTTCTAAGGATAAAACTAGCAACAGATGTTAAAATACTTTGTAAACTGTATGGCAACATGTAAATAGGAGATATTCACACTGGTATTATTTACAAGTATATGTGTTTTGTTGCCTTTAATTATATCAGTGAAAATGTAAACAGATGAAAACAACACAAATGGTACTTGTAAGCTTATAAAAATCTACTATTTTGACCCTGTGGTGGCAGAGTTTTATATCTAGAAGTGGAACCCAACTGTAATAGTAAAGTTTGTTTTTTAAGACAAGTGGGAAATAGGTCATATATCAGAAGAACTTGCTTGTCTAGGATAACTTTATACATCTTTCTGAAAATTGCATTTGAGAATAAATGTCTGACATTAGAAATGCCATCATCTCCCCAAGAAACACCCTTAGCATTGATGCAGCTTAGCAGAACTTACATAGCATTGACCACAAAGCATCCTATTCTGAAAAGAAATGGCTGGAAAACTTTTTTAAAAATATGTTGAATAGCAAAGTCTTGGAACCAACCCAAATGCCCATCAATGATAGACTGGATAAAGAAAATGTGGCACATTTACACCACGGAATACTATGCAGCCATAAAAAGGATGATTTCATGTCCTTTGCAGGGACATGGATGAAGCTGGAAACCATCATTCTCAGCAAAATAACACAAGAACAGAAAACCAAACACCACATGTCCTCACTCATAAGTGGGAGTTGAACAGTGAGAACTCATGGACACAGGGAGGGGAACATCACACACCAGGACCTGTCAGAGGGTGGGGGCCTGGGGGAGGGATAGCATTAGGAGAAATACCTAATGTAGATGACCGGTTGATGGGTACAGCAAACCACCATGGCACATGTATACCTATGTAACCTGCATGTTCTGCACATGTACCCCAGAACTTTAAGTATAATAAAAAAAAAAAAAATTGAAGTCTCCACCTGATGTTGGTAATCTATCACATGTGTATAATGATTCTTGTAATATCTAGATTATGCAGCACCTGCACTCGGTGTAAAAACAATACTGTTAGCATCTTAGAGACTCAGCTTCTGAGGAAAGCATTAGTCATAATACACCTAGAAGGTAGTAATGATAAGCATTTAATTAGAAGTAGGCCTGAAGTTTGCAGTGCAATGCAGTAAGTATTTACCGAGTGATTCATATGAGTAAGGATGTGATAGCTGCTATAAGAGCTGCAAAGTTTATTAAGATACATCCCTGTCCTGGAAACACTGCCAGCTTCGATGAGAATACAACAATGTTAGATATATTCGTTTTGGAAGATACCTTTCCCCCAGTTATTTTCATTTCACAGCTTCTCCAGCCTCCTTCAGCTTCTATTCTCCCTCTTTGCTTTTCTGTCTCAATTTTCCTGCCCAGCCCTAAATTCACAGAGTAAATCCACCAGACCAGAGCCCCTTCCTCTTTCTGTATGTGAAACTACTCCTGCACACATCAGTCTCCTTTTCTACCACCAGCCTGGGGGAAGTAACTCCTCCCATCAGTATCTCATCTGGATACTTCTCTCTCCTGATTTCAACTTCTCCCTTCTAGCCATTAATACATTTACTTTATTATCATAAAATAACGACTTAAGAAAGAAACAAAAAGCAATTCCTTGCCTGTACATTCCCTTTCCACTCTTTTTTTTTTTTTTTTGAGACGGAGTCTTGCTCTGTCACCCAGACTGCAGTGCAGTGGTGCAATCTTAGCTCACTGCAACCTCCACCTCCTGGGTTCAAGCGATTCTCGTGCCTCAGCCTCCCAAGTAACTGGGACTACAGACGTGCCACCACCAAAAATTAGACACTGGCTAATTTTTATATTTTTAGTAGAGACGGGGTTTCGCCATGTTGGCCCGGCTAGTCTCAAACTCCTGGCTTCAAGTGATCCTCCCACCTCAGCCTCCCAAAGTGCTGGGATTACAGGCGTGAGCCACCATGCGCCCAGCCTCCCTTTCCATTCTTTGTAGCCAATCTTCTCCTCCTCATTCCATCTGTACTTATGTCCCTTGTTGATATTTATGTTATTTAATCTTGCCTCATTTTCTGATTTTGTAGCCAGTCTTTTAGGATGTTTCTCTATTTTATTGGTCTTTGAAAGAACCAGAAATTTTGATTTGTTGATTATCTCTCTCTTCTTTTTTTTTTTAAGTTGTTTTTTTAATTGGCTTTCTATTTCACAAATTTCTGCTCTTTAATATTCTCTTATTTCTGCATCCTGTCTCTCCTGGCTTTGTCCGTTGTATGAATAGTTCATTTATTTTTAATTTTTCTTTTTTTAAAATCATATACTCAGAGCTCTAGCTTTGCCATTAAGTTCACTTTAACAATATCCCACTAGTTTTTAAATGTAGAATAGATTTTATTGTTGTTCAGTTATAACTTTGTTATTTTCTCTTTAGCTGATGAGTTACTTATGTGTATATTCGTTGTGTCTGTTTCAAATGCATGGGTTTTGTGTGTTTGCTTTGCTGGTAATTATTTTCCTATTGATTTACAGTAAATTGTATTACACTTAGTTTGGGATCTAGTATGGAACCTGTCTTAGTAAATATTTGTATGTCCTTGAGAAGAATCAGTTTGCCCTGTGTGTGATTCTATGATATATATTCTCATCCGCATATTTTCTCACCCTTTAACATCTCTGAGACTGGGGTACGTCTTACAGTGGATGGCATCTTATAATCGATGTGGGCTCGATTTAAAGTCAGCTTCTTCCAGAGAGGATTTGGATTTGTGTGTGCCATTCAACTGAGGACACTATCAATGTGAAGCTACTTTAATTAAATTCCCTGCTTTAGCTTGAGAGGGTTTTGTTTTGTTTTGTTTTTATAGGGCCTGGTACTGTGAATTCAGATGGAAAACCTGCATGATTTCTGTCTGGCTTATGAGTCATATTTGCAAGGGAACTTTTTTTGGTGTCATCTGTTTGCCCAGTGCCAGAGTTGAAACAAGTTTCCTTACTGTCCCTTTCAGCATGGGAATTTCTTTCTCATTTTCTTTTACGTGAGTCCTTTGGTATCTCAGTTTATGGTTTGCATATGGGAGCAACTCCTCTATTAAGACTCTTCATATTGGACTATTTGTCTTTCTTAGTGGTACATAAAATATTATTTTTAAAATCCATGACCTGCTAAATAAGTGAAATACAGCATATTTTAAAATAAAATTTATTTATCGTAAATTTCACATCTACATCATTACTAATTTGTAGAATCTTCTGCTATAATTGTGAATGTTTGTTTCATCTTTCAATTCCATGACGTTTTCAGACAATATACTCTATATGGTTCTTATCATCCTGATGGAATGTTCTTTTTTAATCATTATACAATGTCCTTTTTTATTGTCATTAATACACTTCACCTTATAATCCTCTATTGATTAATGCTTCATCACGCTTTCTTTTCACATTTTCCTGGCATATATTGTCCATCTATTTATTTTTACTTTTCTGGGCTATAGTGATTAAGACATGTCATTTGTAAGCAGTATTTATTTTATCTGAATTTTTATTTTGATATTCAATCTGATAGACTTTGTTTAATAGTTGTTTTAAATTCTTTTATATTTATTATGATTTTTTTTTTTTTTTTGAGATGGAGTCTCACTCTGTCGCCCAGGCTGGAATGCAGTGGCACAATCTCAGCTCACTGCAACCTCCACCTCCCGGGTTCAAGTGATTCTGCCTCAGCCTCCCAAGTAGCTGGGACTACAGGCGCCCACCACCACGCCCGGCTAATTTTTGTATTTTTAGTAGAGACGGGATTTCACCATATTGGCCAGGCTGGTCTCGAACTCCTGACCTCGTGATCCCCTCACCTCAGCCTCCCAAAGTGCAGGGATTACAGGCGTGAGCCACCACGCCCAGCCTATTGTTGATGTATTTTTATTTATTGCTATTAACTTAGTAGTGTGTTTTTAAGTTTCCAAACTTAAGGGATTTTCGAAGTTCCATTTCTTTCTTAATTACATAAAGGTTACATAAAAGAAGACTGTCTGCATAAGAATAATTCTTTGCATTTTTTGAGATTTGCTGTATGGTCCAAAAGATGGCCAACGTGTATAAGTATACACAGTGTTCCAGTGTTGGATGTAGTGTTCTATTTTATTATTTTAAACTGACTCTTAAATATTCAGTATCTTTCCTGATTTTGTCAGCTTCTCTCTGTCAGTTACCAAGAGTGTATAGTAAAGACTTATAGCTGTGCATGGTGGCTCACGCCTGTAATTCCAGCACTTTGGGAGGCCGAGGCAGGTGGATCACCTGAGGTCAGGAGTTCGAGACCAGCCTGGCCAACATCATGAAACCCCGTCTCTACTAAAAATACAAAAAATTAGCTGGACATGGTGGTGGGCGCCTGTAATCCCAGCTACTTGGGAGGCTGAGGCAGGAGAACTGCTTGATCCCGCGAGGCGGAGGTTGCAGTGAGCCGAGATCGTGCCACTGCACTCCAGCCTGGGCAACAAGAGCAAAACTCCATCTCAAAAAATAAAAAATATAAATATAAATAAAAAGACTTACAGGCAGATATGTCAGTTACTCCTTACACTTCTGACATTTTTACCCTGTGTATTTTCAAATGCTTTCGTTTTATGCCTACATATCTAGAGTTTTTCATCTTCCTGGTTAACCTAATCTTGTTTTCAGTGCTATCTCTTTTCTGGTAATGCTTTTTGCCTAAATTTGTACTTTGCCTTATGTTAATATTGGTACATATCAGCTCTTTTTGGTTCGCATTTGTCATAGCACCTCCACAATTTTACTTTCAACCTTTCTGTGTCCTTATGGGCAAAAAAAAAAGTGTGAGGGTTATTCCTCAAACACCTGAGGGCATCAATCCCAGTTGTGTACCCAGAGTGGGTGATTGACCACTACAAGCTGTACTTTTGCCAGGATTCCATTACTTCTGACCGTGTAAGCTCCCGCAGTAATGGAAGTGGCCATGTGGAAGCTGTGGGTCTCTGGAAATCAGTGTCTCCTCAGACCCTGTGTCCTGTGGCCCTCGAGACATCTGAGTATTTCCCTTTTGCACTATACAGTCTACTGAGTGATGGCTGCAGGTTTCTTTGTAGAAGGACTAGGGGAAACATTACAGTGTATCCTTGCTACCATGTTTCAGGGTCCTTCCTCACAGGGATGCAATTCCTTTGGTCAGGGGGTCCTGGATCTGAAATTGGCTCAGTTCTGGGAACTGATCAAGGAATCATGATTTTCTATAGAGCAGCCACCTGTAGCCTCCTGTTTTCCCACTCTTGCCCTTTTCTGTGGTCATAGAGGTTGAGCAGCACACTTGTCATTTGCCCCTAAGGATGCTATGCTCCACTAACCATCTCCACAATCCGCTGAGAGTCAGGCCTCCTTGGCTGCCCCTTGGCTTTTTGGTTATTATGGTAATTGTGGTACCCGGGCTTCTGGTCATTGAGCTTTACCACTTGGACCCTATTATTTAGGATCCTATCATCCCAGTGGATTTTAATGAGCCCAGCTCTGCAACCTCTTCCTACAGAGAAGAGCTCCAACTGCACTGTTCAGTGATGCTGATACCCCTCTTCCTGATGCATTCTTTATGGCCTCTGGGTGGGGCCTCTGGGAACTTCCATGGATAATCCTTTGCTCAGTTTTTCTGGACTCACACAATGCATGCTGGTGTGCCTACTTCTCTCAGCTTCCACATTCCTTCCTCTTCCATCTGCCAGGGCAACCCCAGCACACCTACTCCTCTTTAAATTGGCTATCACTCAGAAGAGACCTATAAGAGAAGAGCCTCTTCCTGAATCGCTCCACTACATGGTAGCTAATTCTTGCATCACCTTCCATATATGATCTCTTACCCCTTTTCAGGCCTAGCACTTCCCTAGCTGGGTCTTCCAGGGATGTCTCCTTAATTGTTGTCCTATTGTCCTGCAGCCAAGAGAAGAGCTGGTAGCTTCTGAGGGGGCGGGCCATTTGTTGCAAGGTGTGATGGTGTTCACACCAGGACATTTTTACTAAAGATATCACCTGAGCTAACCTGATAAAATGTGCTGGTGTGGATGCCGTCACAGCTGGTGTGGACACCAGGATATTTTATCAGATTAGCTCTAGTGATGTCTTCAGCAATCACATAGCCACCGTGTGCCAGAGACTGCCCATGCCCCACATTCCCACACAGGACAGGGGGCCGGTAAGAGAACCTGTCCCAGAACTCCATCTCAGTCCCGGTTCTCGCAGACTACTTGTGCTCCTGCTGTTAGTTCAGGTTCTACAAAAAGCAAGTGCCAAGATTGGATTTATTTGGAAAAACAGGAAGGGAGCCAGAGGAAGCTGGGACAGCTGTTAGACCTGATGCAGGTCCAACCTCCATGGAGGAGAGGGAAGGAAGGAAGGCTGGGTGAGAAAAGTCTTGGACTGCAGTGCAATTATAAGAAAGTTTTGTCGAAGCCAATGGGGAGTCCTTGAGCCAAAGTCCCCTTTAGAGGAGTCTTGTGTCTGTAGGATTGCACTTGTATCAGTATTCTTGCAGCTCACTCACTACCCTGAAACAAACCTAGACCTCCGTGCAAATGAAGTGATTGGTTTCAGAGCATGGCAGCCAAGGCCCTTGGCCAACTTTTTTTTCCTGCAATTGGAAATGTGGAAGATCTGAAAGGTGTGTACCTTTCAGATGGTACACATCTGATGCTATGGAAATGATACATTTCATTTCGTTTAATTTTAATGTCTACCTTTAAATTAACAATATTTATTTAACATCTTTGTCCCTTTTCCAGATAATATAACACGTTCAAATTACCTAATTTTTATTGCCACCATTCTACAAATTGTTGACCAATAATTTAGGTCTGTCTGTTTTATTTTTGTGAAAGATGGGAGATCGGATGTCTATGTTTATGTTCATTTTTTCTTAGAATGGACATCAAATTTTCCAACACCGTTTGTTGAAAAAACTATTCTTTCTCCATTGAGTTGCCTTTGTTCCTTTGTCAAAAAATAGTTGACTATATTTGTTTTGTGGGGGGTGTGGGTTTGGCCTGGCAATAAATATTTTAATTTTTCTTGTTTCATTTTTTATTATGACCAATAATTTTCAAGTTTATTTCCTTGTTTGTTTAAATACAAATCTAAACCACAAGCAGGTACAACCAAGACATTTTATCTCATATTTACACTCCTGTCAGATCCTCTTCCAATTTGATGACCACTGACCAGGCTAGCAGGGGATGGGAGAACATTTTCTTAGGTAGCAGTGTTGTGAGGCCTGTGGTGGGGGTGGGGGAAATCAAGGACAAGGACAGGCTCTCATACCTGTTTCCACATTTACCTGGGACCAGGATGGGCAGGAGACACCAGGTCATGGCTCCTGAGCACCAGCTTCCTGGTTTGAAGAGGCAGAGAGTGAGAACTGGACCTGCATGGGGAGAGAGGAGAGAGCCACCTACTCCTCCTGCAGTTGGCTATATTTTTATGAGTCTACTGGGCACTCTGTTCTACAGTTTCATTGATCTGTCTGTCTGTTCTTTTGCCAGTACCATGCTGTCTTGATTACTATAGCTTTATAGTAACTCTTGAAGTCAGATAGTATCAGTCCTCCAACATCATTTTGCAGTATGGTGTTGGCTATTCCAGATCTTTTGCTTTTCCATATAAATTTTAGAATCAATTGTTGATATCTACAAAATAACTCATTAGGAAAGTGATTGGGATTGAAATGAGTCAATAAATCAAGTTGGGAAGAACTGACGTCTTGACTACTGAGTCTACCTATTCATGAACATGGAGTATCTCTTTATTTAGTTCTTCTTTCCAAAAATTGATTTCTTTCATCTGAGTTTTGTGGTTTTCCTCATATAGATCTTGTACACATTTTGTTAGGTTTATACCTTAGTATTTTATTTTTTGGTGATACTGTAAGTTATATAATTTTTATTTCAAGTTTTAATTATTCAGTGCTGGTATATGGGAAAGCAGTTGAGTTTTGTATATTGACTTGTGTCCTGCAACCTTGCTATATTTGTGTATTAGCTCCGGGAGTTATTTTGTAGATTCCTTGGCATTTTCTACATAGACGTATTAGTCTTCAAATAGGGACAGTTGTATTTCTTTCTTTCCAATGTGTATATCTTTTATTTCCTTTTTTGTCTTATTGCAATAAATATAAGACAAATATACGCTGACTATAATGGTCTGATTCCTAATTTTAGGAACTTTTCTTAGTTACTTGATCTTTGGGATCAGCATGGGTCTCAGCTTACATTGTCCCTCAAGGCCAGTCAGTACCTGAAAATGTGTCACTTAGATTTTCAAACTTCTCTTCCACCTTTTGTATGAACTAATACTTGTTCTTGGGTTGAATTACCTTTTTTTCTAAGAGCAGTTGGCTGCTCTGAGGTCACAATTACCCTGAAGGTGTAAGTACCACAGTTCTTCATTTCAAGATAAAAGAAATGCCAGTTTATCCTCTTACCATTCTGAATTCCTCTGATTTTTTCATTGCCTGCAACAAACTGAGTGTTGGCATAAAAATATCTTTGTGCTTTTTAGAAGACATGGAGGATCCCTCAAAGGCTTTTTTAATAATAAGTGAAAGGGGATTTATTCTTCCTTATTGGAGTAATAAAATTTGTTACACTTTATGTAAGTTCCTATGGAGGGTGGGGGAAGGAGGTGGAAATGAAGACGATGATTTAGGATTCCAAAAATTAAAGTTACTTGTGGAAGGCTTTAACTGAAAATAGATCTTCCTCTTGAGATTTTAGTTTGTTCTGAAGAATAATATTACAAAATCCAACACTGCACAATAAAAAACGCAAAAGCAATGGAAGATTTATGATGATGTTCCTTTGCAGTTCGTTTAAACTGGTATGCTCTCTTGGCCTCGTCTGTCATACTGAGAGGCTTTATGATCTTGGTTCTGCCTATATGGATTAAATTAAGTTATACATGTGCAATTCTCATTCTGCCTGTAAAGTCTCATTTGGTACTCAGCCTTTTTTGCTGTACTCCCAAAGGACAATGATATTGGGAGAAGAAAGTAGAGGAAAACATCACAGAAGAACCAGAGAGAAAGGCAGAGACCCCCAGGGTGTATTTAGATTGGGCCAGAACTGAATTGCTGACTCGCCAAAAGGCCAGTCCAATCATAGATGTGTGCATAAGAAAAGACCTCACGAGTCCCTTCATGTCTACCCTTCAACATAAACATCACAGTGTCTCAAAATAGCCAGAACTGCTGCATTGACAGTTGAGATAGGGAGGGAGGACATTGGTCCCAAGGCTGGTTGGCATTCACAATAGAGGGAGAGGAAATTAATAAATGATCTGTTCCTGTCTACACAAAGCTTGGACACCCCAACAGAACATAAAAACAACTCAGATCTGAATCGTGATGTTAGTTTTACTGATAACTACAGGTATGTTTGTGGTGGGAGGAAAGGGAGGTTGAATTAAACAAATTTATTTCTTTCAGCATGTCTCTTTGCTTAACTGTTGATTCTGATACGTCTGTTAAACAGGTGGCAGGAAGCTCTGTGTCTGTGTATACATACATAGGTGTACATGAGCAACATGTCATGAAATATGAAATAGAGTCATATGAAAGAGTCAAAACTAAAGGATATAATTTCTGATTGTCCATCTTTTATGTGATTCCAGGGAAAAAGATTATATTTTTATTTCCATATAAATAAAATGAGAAATTCTCTTGGCAGTAGCTACTGCAGACTTTCTTCTGAGCCAAGTGAGATAGACTCTATAGATAAGTAAGGAGAAATGGGTAAGGGTGATCAAGTCACTGTGGCACTGGCTTGCTGTACTCTTGGAAACCAGACATATTGACATCAGTTTTAATTTATATAAATGCCATGAGTTATCTCATAATTATGTGGGGATATGGGAATGAGGGAAAGGAATTGCTTTCCTTAACTTCTCTGTATGAAGAATAGATTCCTTGTCTTATCACACTCCAAATACACCAGGATGGCTAAAGAAGGCTCTTTTATTTCTGGCTGCCACACTGATAACAGAACCTTCACTCGTAGACCTTACTGTGGACCTGGCATCCCCATAAGGATGCTCACAGGTGTCTGATTGGGTAGGAAGTACTGTCATTCTTTTATAAATGGGGAACAAAGCTCAAAAAAGTTATGTCGACAAAGCTCCACCACTCTGGGTTAGAGACAGAACTAAATCTTAGTTATCCATATTCAAAGTCCACAGAAGACATGGCTTGAGGTTAATAGACTGCTTCTAATACGTAGTCAAAAAATTTGCCTCCAGAAATGTCTAGGCCCCTTGTTCAGGAGACAGTCATTCTTTAAGTAAACATTCTTCAAACAACTCCTGTGTGCCAAGCATTGTTCAGGTGCCTGAGAATAAAGCCATGAACATAAATGCTAAAAATTCCTTAAAGAGGTTAAATCCTAGTGGAGGGAGAGCCATAGTTATCACACATAGAAAATATCTTGTGTTTCTGATGGCGGTCAGTGCTGTAGAGAAAAGGAAGGAATATTCAGGGGTGGCTGTTGTGGAAGGTTGGGCCAAGTGTTCAGCTTTTACTTTGGCTTCTCATGAGGATCTCACTAAGCAAGGATTTGAATGAGGTGAGAGAGAGAGAGAGAGAGAGAGAGAGAGAGCCGTGAGACACTTGGGTGAAGAGCATTCCAGGCAGATGAAAAACAAGTATGGCATCAAAACGTCATGCTCTGTGAGGCCAGAATGACAGAAGCGAAAACTCGGTAGGTAAAGATGGGATATTACTGCTCTAGTTGGAATGGGAAGCCTCTCTGGCATCAGCTAGCCAAAAGTAAAGTAAAAACACTTATGATTCTGAAAGTCAGCTCATCTTTAGCTTACTCCCCCCACCCCAGTTGCTTTTGTGGATCCATTCTTTTTTTCTATACTCAGAATCATTTCCGGAGCTACCTGCCACACATCAAAAGGTGCTCTCTTAGGTTGTTTAGATATGCTTCTGGTTGTCGTAGAATAAACATGAGACAGTGCTTATCATTTTCTGAACAGGATCATGAAAGGGTTTACCCTGATCAGGAAAGGGTTTCTCCTTCTTGAAGCATATATTTGGTAAGCAGAGAAACTGTTGAGAAGGAGATCCAAGATTGAGAGCATATGGTAATGTCTGCCAGCACGTGAACCTGAGGGAGAACGTGGTGAATGGCTTTGTTCTGTACCTTGACTCTTTGATTTGTTGACCCATTAGGAATGTTTTTCAAGAAAGTCATCAACCAGAGCTTACACTTTTCTTTGTCTTCACTCTGCCATGAGTAGTGCCTGGCATATAGTTACTACCTGCTCCCTGATGAATAAGGGCAAAGCTGTAGTGCCCTCTTCTAAGACTACAACAGAGTAAACACCACTAAAATTACTGGACTTTAATTCAAGATTTTAAATAATACTTGAACGAGAGTAAATCCTGCTCATAGATGGGAAATAACTATTGGTAATACCACAGTATGCTATTTAAATAGTGTTTCATTTGCAGAGAATATGCTTCTCCAAAGAGATCATAACTTGTGGCAAGAAAATGCTATTTTAGGATAATTACTAGCACCTCTTTTGGTTGTAATAAAAACCAAATTTTGAGTCATTCTTTATGTGCACAATTCCCAGACAGAGAATTGCCTTAAAAACAGATGAGAAGTTGAAAAGAATATAAAATAGTTCTCGGTTTGTGGTATGGCCTCTTTTCAAGTAAAAAAAATCAAAGCTGTCTATTTTTATTATCTGTGGAACATAAGTCATCGTCAAAAACAATATCCAGTAGAAGTCTTTAAAGCAATATTCTACCCTCTTAAAAATATTTCTAGAATGCCATTTTAAAAGATGTGTATAGCTATTACTTTGTGGTACCAATGTTGTGTGTATATGCACTTGTGATTTTTAAAAATATTACTCTATTATGGAAAAGTTAAAATATGTGCAAAGGTGA